>NC_000006.12:14605454-14756969 GCF_000001405.40 Homo sapiens | reverse complement strand
TTTTGAGACGGAGTTTTGCTCTTTCACCCAGGCTGGAGAGAAGTGGTGTGATCTTGGCTCACTGCCACCTCCGCCCCCTGGGTTCGAGAAATTCTCCTGCCTCAGCCTCCCAAGTAGCTGGGATTATAGGCGCCCACCACTACGCCCAGGTAATTTTTGTATTTTTAGTAAAGATGGGGTTTTGCCACATTGGCCAGGCTGGTCTCAAACTCCTGACCTCAGGTGATCCATCCGCCTTGGCCTCCCAAAGTGCTAGGATTACAGGCCTGAGCCACTGTACCTGGCCAAACTGATTCTTCTATTTGCTTGTCTCTTCTGACTAGAATGTAAGCTTCATGAGAGCAAGCATGGTGCCCGGATGCCCAGGATCTAGAGCAGAGCCTGGCACACAGTAGGTGCTCTCATGTAAATGCTGAGTGAGTGAGTGAATCATGAGCTCTGAAGCTGGAAGCCTAGGAGAGCCTTGGGGGTCAGGGACAGAGGAAGGAAAGAGATGGGGCAAGAGGCAGGGCAGGGACAAAGAAGGAATTGGTGAATCGTGGTGGCAGGGCTGAGGAAGCACTAGTCAGGGCAATGGATTGAACACAATTGGCCTTCCCAGACTGAGAATGCAGCCAGTGTAAGGATTCCTGGAAGAGCTCTGGGTCGAGTACCCTCTCCTTCTCCTCATACAACAGGGATAGGCTTATGGAGCTCATTATCCCTACGATGGTGGAGACTGGGAAACGGAACCATCTTCCCTTGGTGTAGAGAAACTCATGGATGACAAGTTTTCTTTTAATAAGTTATCTGGATAATTGGGGGCCAGGTGGAAAACTCAGCTACAAAGTTGATGTTGAGAAGGACTCATTCATCTTTTATGGAACGCCCTTTCTTGTCTTTGCAAGAGCCGGACATTGTGTTAGATAGGATGTGGACTCTCCAGTGTGGCCAACCTGGCTTTTTAGGGACTAGGAGTTCTCTGGATTGAGTGTTAGCTCATTTCCTGGTTCAATTCTTTGAGAGGCCCCACCTGCCTAAGTGCTGCATATACCCGGTTACAGTTACCAGAACACCTTCTTCCAAGCCACCAGCATCTCCTGCCTGAATTTTTGGACTAACTGGTGTCCCTGCCTCTGGTTTTGGCCCTAATAATCCATTCTCCACACAGCAACCTGAGTGACCTTGTTTTTTTTTTTTTTGAGACAGAGTCTTGCTCTGTCGCCCAGGCTGGAGAGCAGTGGTGCGATCTCGGCTCACTGCAAGCTCGCCTCCCGGGTTCACGCCATTCTCCTGCCTCAGCCTCCCGAGTAGCTGAGACCACAGGCCACCACGCCTGGCTAATTGTTTTTTGTATTTTCAGTAGAGACGGGGTTTCACCATGTTGGCCAGGCTGGTCTCGATCTCCTGACCTCGTGATCTGCCCACCTCAGCCTCCCAAAGTGCTGGGATTACAGGCGTGAGCCACTGCGCCCGGCCCTGAGTGACCTTTAAAAAGCAGAAATCAGATCATATCATTCACCTGCTTAAAATTCTCCAAGAGATTACATTTAGAATAAAATCCACATTCTGTATTGTGTATTATGGGTTGAACTGTGTCTGCCCCGTCACAAGTTGCTGAAGTCGCAAGCACCTGTGAATGTAGCCTTATTTGGAAAGAGGAAAAGAGACAGAACATATATTCAGCAAGCTTCTTCAAGCACCTTCAAATTGGGTCATCTCAAAGTACATACGGTAATGAAAACAATGTAATGTTTTCCAAGCCAGCCGCAGCCCTTATTTTTTCCTCCGAAGTCCTCTATTTTACTCAGTTTGCTTTACAGAAAGTTTCATTTTCCATCTTGCGGCACCCTCGGAACTTCGGAGGTGAGAGATGCCGATGTTCTCAACTGGGCGAGGGCGGCCGTTTTGTTAATTCTCTTTGCGCTGCTAACTTGCTGGGTGACCTTAGTGTTTTAGTTAACCTCGTGAGGGCCTCAATTATTCTATAGAAAATTCGACGAGAATACGTTACACCACAGGGGACTGGTGATGAAGGAAGAATCCAATATATGTGAGAGCTCATGGAGGAACTTTCTGAGTCGACTTTCTCTGTCTTAGTTTTGTTATTTCAACTCTCCCCGCAGGGCCCTGTCCTCGGGGCAGCCCCTCTTCACCTCCCTGCCACCTCTCCCTCATATGGGTTTCCGAAACGTCACTCACCACCAAATTCACAGTCTGCAGTATATGTGAGGACTAATTCACTGTTGTTTGCTTAATATTGTGTTAACTCACTTTAAAAATTAAGTTGGTTTATTTAAAAAGGGAAAATTTGACTGGGCACAGTGGCTCATGCCTGTAATCCCAGCACTTTGGGAGGCCAAAGTGAGAGGATTTTCTTGAGTTCAGGAGTTCAAAACCAGCCTGGGCAACATAGTGAGACCCCTGTCTCTAAAAAAAAAAAAAAAAAAAAAAAAAAAAAAAAAATTAGCCAGGCATGGTGGCACACCCTTGCAGTTCGAACTACTTGAGAGGCTGAGGTGAGAGGATCGCTTGAGCCCAAGAGTTCAAGGCCACAGTGAGCTGTGATCATAGCACTGCACTCAGCCTGGGGGACAGAGTAAGACCATGTCTTCAATAAATAATTAATTAAAAGGGAAAATTTATGTCAGTATATATAATGACAATGAAATCATAAGTTTGTCAAGTATATATTTTTCCTAATACACATTTGTATTACTACACGATTATTAAAATGAAAACTCACCCCACTCTCTAGCACAGTCATTATGGAAAACAGTGTGAAATTTCCTCAAAAAATTAAAAATAGGACTACCCTATGATCCAGCAATCCTGCATCTCGGTATACAGCTAAAATAAATGAAATTAGTATGTTAGGGAGATCTCTGCACCCCCAGGTTCACTGCAGCACTGTTCACGCTAGCTGAGATATGGAAACAACTCAAACGTCCATCCATGAATGAATGGATAAGGAAAATGCGATATGTATGTATATGCATATATATGTCACATAAAGAATATTCCATGATATCTACATATAATGAAATGCTTTACATATATAAAATGGAATATTATTCAGCCATTAAAAAAGAAGGAAATCCTGTTATTGGCAACAAATAAATGGACCCGGAGGAGATTATGCTAAGTGAAACAAGCCAGGCAGAGAAAGACAAATACTGTGTGATCTCACTTATGGGTGGAATCTCAGAAAGCTGAACTCATAGAAGCAGAGAGTAGAATGGTGGTTGGCAGAGGCTGGCCTGGTGGATGGGCCAGGGTTGTAGAGATGTTGGTCAAAGAATATAAAATTTTAGTTAGATAGAATAAGCTCAGGAGATTAATTGTACAACATAGTGACTATAGTTAATAATAATATATTATATACTTGAAAATTGCTAAGATAGATTTTAAATGTTCGTATTACAACAAATGATAGGTATGTGAGATATTGGATATGTTAATTAGCTTGATTTAGCTAGTTGGAATGCCAGTGTATGCATATGTGAAAACATCATGTTGTACACCATAAAAATATACAATTCTTGTTATATTTATCAATTTAAAAAATTCAGTATCTGTGGAGTCCTGGCTTAAGGACTTCTTCCTCAACGACAGCTTCCCGAGCCTCCAGGCTACTTCAGTCCCCCTTATATACCTGTGCTTTTTCCTCTTTTGTGACACTCTTCACATCCTCCTGTAATTATCACCTCCTACTGCCTCTTCCATTAGAATGTAAGCTTGTATATCCAGGGTCTAGCACAGCACCTGGCACATAAAAGGTGTTCAAAACATTTGTGTGGAATTAAATAAAAATTCATCTCTGGCTGGGTGCGGTGGCTCATGCCTATAATCCTGGCACTTTGGGAGGCTGAAGCGGGTGGATCACCTGAGGTCAGGGGTTCAAGGCAAACCTGGCCAACATGGTGAAACCCCATTTCTACTAAAAATACAAAAATTAGCTGGGTGTGGTGGTGGATGCCTGTAATTCCAGCCACTCGGGAGGATGAGGCGGGAGAATCGCTTGAACTTAAGAGGCGGAGTGAGATTGCACCGTTGCATTCCAGCCTGGGCAACAAGAGAGAAACTCCGTCTCAAAAAAAAAAAAAAAAAAAATCTGCACCAACTTAGGTCTTTCTGTAGACCATTAGTGGGAAATTGCAGTGCATGACACCTTCTCTTTCTCTGTCTTTCAGTCCAGTGCTTGCCAATCTGGGGACATTTGTGGTACCTCTGAGCAGCCAGGTCAGAGCTTACTCCTAGGAGCTGGGGGACGCATAGTTAGAATTCTAGTCACTTCCTCTAATGGTCCAAATTTTAAGTATTGATATGTACAGAGAGTGAAGAGCTTGGTTAGGGCCATGGACTTCTCAAAGCTGTGAGTCTTGGGGATGAGTAATTAGTGGGTAATTGGCAACTTATTTTTCTGTCACAAAGACTTCTTTCCATATAAAGCATATTCCCACAGGGAGTGTTTTGCTCTTCTTGAAGATGATGTCTGGCCAGTACTTACATCTCCATGGGGTCCCCAAAGCAGGGCCTAAATCTTTTTACCTGTTATTCCCTTGACTTTTTACATCTGGTTCTATTAGAACTTTCCACAAGTTTCGGAACCACTGCAAAACAGAACTGTGCAGGCATGGTAGATGTCTTGGCACATGTCTGGTTGTGCATGGGTACTGAGTCCTTGACAGTGGTTTTCTAGAAAAATTGTGTGCTCCTTATCTATTTGCTAATTCCTTCCACATATCACAAGACTTTTCTGTAAATTCCCTCAGTCTTGACAAAGTTATCTTGTAGACCTGTGTAGTGATTTTGATGGCTGCACAGAGCTGTTTGTCTTGTTCAGAACTAAATTAATAACACTACGATGGCACCTACTTTAGCACCAAACTTCTTAAACTCTCCTAATATACGAATCAGCATGTCAGCGAAATATATATATATTTTTTCTGGATAAAGACAAGCCTGGTGAAATGGATTAGACATTCACATGGCATTGCATAATTCAGCATGCCGGTACGGTGCATATGATTTGCATTAATAGCCTGCACTGGAAGCTGCTGCTCATAGGTTTCTCTCATTAGGTCGAATATGGAAGATTCCAGACTGTCAATCAATTACAGTAATTTCCTTTTCCATATTTATTCCATCACCATCATTGACAGCTACCATTAAGTGACATTAATACAATACAATATCATCTTGCATTTCTACAGAGCATCTCAGGGTGCCTAATAGTTCCTCTTCAGCCAAGAAATCATATTACAAAGGAAAAAGTACCCTCATTCTCTAGGTAGAAAATATGCTGCCAACTCTCTTGGATAACGTGGGAGTTGCCCAAATCCCTGGGGATGCCCCTGACTTCTGGGCATGGGTGTTTATTTTTCTGTTGTCCAAAAATATTCAAGACTGTGACTCTACAGACTGGAGTGGCTTAGTGGGCAGGGATGACTTTCCAAGACGCATACCTGACCACACTTTCCACCTCTATTCAGCCTTGATTTAGAACACGTTTACAAGGCAGGGCTGGTGGGGACCCTTGTGGGGGAATTCACTTTCTTTCTTTCTTTCTTTCTTTTTTTTTTTTTTTTGAGACGGAGTCTCGCTCTGTCACCCAGGCTGGAGTGCAGTGGCGCGATCTTGGCTCACTGCAAGCTCCGCCTCCCGGGTTCACGCCATGCTCCTGCCTCAGCCTCCTGAGTGGTAGCTGGGACTACAGGAGCCCGCCATCAAGCCCGGCTAATTTTTTGTATTTTTAGTAGAGATGGGGTTTCATTGTGTTAGCCAGGATAGTCTTGATCTCCTGGCCTCGTGATCCACCCACCTCGGCCTCCCAAAGTGCTGGGATTACGGGCACGAGACACTAGGCCTGGCAAGAATTCACTTTCTTAGAAGGGGAGCAGTTATTGCATACCACTGCTTTGCAACAATTCCTCGCTCCAGGCCTCCATGGCCCCCCCGACTTGCCCCATCCCTTGAAATGCAATCAGCCACCTTGACTCAGTAGAATGGGGCAAAGCCCTTTTTTTTGCCAGACAGACGATTTGAATATGCTGTTGCCAGAGTTCCCATATTCACTCTTCCCCTTCTCTCTCGTAATCAGGGATTATCAGAGTTTTGCCACACAGAGGTCATCTCTGTTGCCTAGAAGTCACTAACTAAACATAGAGATTAATCTCTTGGTTGGTTTTGGGTGACATACCAGTAAGCTTTCCAGATAAGTATAGAATATACCGTTATATTTGAATTTCAGATAAAAAATGAATTGTTCGCATATATTTACTAAATATTGTATAGGACATATAAAAATTATTCATCGTCTATCTGAGATTCAACTTTAACTGGGCGTCCTGTATTTTTATTTGCTAAATCTGCCAGCCCTACCCATCAGGTGACTCAAAGGCCTAAGAGTTCAGCCAACAAAGCTACTGAGATCCTAGGAGAAATCAAATCAAGACAATATGTCTACACTGAACCAAAGTATTTGCAGAGTGCTGTGTTCACAGCTGTGGGAGATGCAAAACAGTGTCAGACTTGGTGAGAAAACAGTAGAGGAGAGGAATGGCCACAGGCCAGAGAGAGACCGTGGTGCTAGCACAAAAGCCTGGCTCAAGGACTACAGAAAAGCAAAATGGCATTTAAAAAAAGATTGTTTCCAGTAGTTTTATCTCCAACCTTTTATGATGGCTTCTTGTAATGGGAGCTTCCGCGTCACGGGAGAAGGCTGGAGAGGCTGGAAAACAAAGCTTTCTGACAAGGCAGGAGGCTTGTGGGCATAGCATGTACCCTAGTCCTTTATTGCTGGGATAAAGCAAACAGCATCTTGATTGACAACTGAGGGACGGTATGGCAGTAACAATCAATAGGCATTTGTGGGTTGGATGACTGACAAATTTTTGAGCAGGAAGAGCATGAGGAAGGATATTTTAGTAAGACTATCTTGGATGTGTTGTGGGAGAAACATGAAGGATACAAATCCCTTTTACTAACTGGGGAAAAATCAGCCATCTACCCTGACGGCTGTCCTGCACTGAACATCACCTAACACTGTCATTCTTCCTCCTCCAATCACATCAACAACTTGCTGTCCAGTTGTTCAGGGACTTCAAACAACCATGGCTATTATAGCAAGTATTGTGGTGCCATTTCTTCCGAAAACTGGGAGGATAATTATACACTCTGTGGGTGAGGGTGTAGAACAAACAAGAGGACAGATTAATGGCAGAGAGAGGACAGCGTTGAGAAAAGTGAATTAGAAAGCAGATTGGCTGGGAAAGTAGGGAGTCATTAAAACTTCTTTCTGATCAATTAATCTTTGGGTGGTTGGGGTTAAGGAACAACCTGGAATTCAGCCTCCACTGTGTGCCTTGAACTTCCATTCCTGTTATCTGTAAGGAAAACTTTATCCTTGTTTTAATGACTTTTCAAGCAGTTAGGAAACTTTGTCAAGAGTGTTGAGTGGCAAGGGCAGAGCCAGGATTGGAGGACAGGTCTTTCTTGCTCCAAGACGAGTTCTGGTTCCATGTCTGAAGGCTGCCCAGGCTCCCTGTGAAAAGGGGCTCTGCAAACTGCTCCTTCAGTCTCACAGAAGTGCATGCTAATGAGACTAACACAGACATCTACCCATCCATTGCTGTCAGTTGTGTGTGCTGAATTCTATTTTGCTATTTGAAATAAAAAGAAACTTACAGTCTGGATTGGGGATAAAGGAAAATGAAGATTTAGTCTACCTCGGTGATAGAGTGTAATTGCAAAGGGATAAATATATGGACTCACATCAGTTTTTCACTTCCTACAATGGCCAACCCTTCTGGAAAAAAACAGTATTTCAGGTAGTAGCAATGAGATTATCTGGCGATTTGGTAAAAGAGTTAAGCGTAACATTTTATGGAAAGAACTATAATCAGATGATAACCACAGGAAGAAGCAGCAACAGAGCAAAGAAAATAACATATTATCTTTTTAAAGACACCTAGATTTGTTTCTGAGGAGGATGAGGAGGCTTTCGAGATACTGAGAAGGGAAAAAGATATTAGAGCTGAGAATGATCTTTGTGATACTAAAAGCTACTTGAGGTTTGCGGTGGGGAATGAATGAGCTGACACCCGAGTAATAAACCTTAGGCTCTCACACGTCTCCACAGAGCCTGTTTGGAAACCAGGAAAGAGTAAGTGACTCAAGTATTCTAAATTTTAGTAAAAGAAGAAGGTAATCATCTCACCACCTCCCTTCCCCTCCCTCTTCCTTTGTGCTTGGTTTTCCTCAGGTTCTTCTCATATTAAATAATTAATATTTAATAAAAGGGTCACTCTACAACTATGCTTTTGCCCTTGTGCCAATCTTGAAGCAGGGCTCTATACTTCTGTGTTTTTCTCTCAAAGGAAGTTCACTCTCGAAAAGTGAGAATGCAAACTTTACTGAACATTTTATAAGGAAGACCGAAGAGGGGATTTACACCTCGTGATGCTCAGAGTTTAATTTCCCAAATCACCGTGAGAAGTCCCTCCCCAGTTCTATTCTCAGCTGTTGTTCTTTGGGTCTTTAAAATCTTCCACCAAGTAGCTTCTCAAATTCTCTGTTTTAGAGAAATCTTCCCTTCAGCCATGGTTCTTTTGCAGAAAAATTTCACTTCTCACCTCTCTCAGTCGTTGGCACCAGCCCACCCACAGACCTCGAAGCCCAGCATTCACTATGGTTTAGCAGAGGATTCCCCCTAAAAACTCACACTTTCTTTTGCAAGGCATTCATGAAACAACTGCTAAGAAAAATGAGATGTTTTTGTATTACCACAAGAACATAATTCATTGGGGAATGATACCTTGCAAAGTTTACCATATGCTTTGGGTTTCTTAATTTTTAGAATATTTGCTATCTTCTTATCCAAGCTTGGAGGTTGGGTTTGGTGGCAGTGGAGATAATTGAATTCTTGTCTAACCACATTTTCAGAATGACATCAATTATTCTCCCATTTTTAAGTGAATGTTTCCAAAGCATTCTGAATGGCTATTTACCCAGTAGCTGAGAGAGAAACTGGGATTTTGTTTTTTTAACTTCTCCATCTGTGAGGAGTGGCCAGCCATCTTTATTCCTTCTCTTTATGTAGGGGCTACCCTCTTGGGGGTTTCACAGTATTTCTTGTAAAGACCATGAACTTGGGCTGTCACTGTGTGATAACAATTCCTTTATGCCCACGACTGAATCTCAGATTCTGGCTGGGCGCTGTGGCTCATGCCTGTAATCCCAGCACTTCGGGAGGCTGAGGCAGGCGAATCCCTCTAGCCCAAGAGTTCGAGACCAGTCTGGGCAACATGACAAAACCCCATCTCTACAAAAATCTGCTGTTCATGGTGGCACAAGCTTGTAGTCTTAGCTACTCGGTAGGCTGAGGTGGGAGGATTGCTTGAGTAGGGGAGGTGGAGGTTGCAGTTAGCCAAGATCACGCCATTGCACTCCAGCCTGGGCACAGAGTGAGACCCCGTCTCAAATAAATAAATACATTAAAATCCAGATTCTAAGATGTTAGAATTACTACCTTAATTTTAAGGTTTTAATATTATTGATTGCTTATTCTCATGGGGACACCAGAGTTTGGTGATCCTGGTGGTCCGTATCCCTGGGGGAATTCAAGATGTTTGCTCAAAAGTTGGCTTATCAGCGTTTTGCTCCCTTTTGGCGCTTCAGCTTCCTGCAGCTTCGTGTAATTTGTGCATTAATAGTGCTCATTATGATCATGGGGGTCTTTTGATGTGAAAATCAGGCTTGATGTAGACTTGATATGTATTGGGATATTTCAAAGATATTTGTTAAATGCATCTGGAAAATTCAGGATGTCTGTTGTTGAGTTTCTAGACCTGTGCAGGGAACACCTTTCCAGAGGTCATTGTGTTTTGTATTTTGCTGCTCATTATTTTTCTTCCCTGAAGAACTGTTTTGTTTTGTTTTGTCACTTTCCAAATCTGAGTGAGTTCTTTTCTCCTTCCAACTCCCCTGCCTGTGATATTCTTTTATCATGTCATCATTATTTTATCAGTAATTCTGCTCACGCCCAAGAATTTTGCCTCTTCTTCCTCAGCTTACTGATTTCTATGGCATGTCTTTTTTTCTCAGTATTTCTTCCTAGGTCGGACATTTCCCCCAGTCATCCTTTCTCTCGCTTGATGCATGTCACATCCTAGGAAGCATCAGCTACTACATCTGCCCCCTCCTTTTCTCTTCCGTCCCCACCGGGCTTTCCTGGAGCTGCTCCTGCCACATTTACTCCATGTCTTGGGCTCACAGTGCTTCACTTCTATCCTTGTCATTCAGGGGTAACAGTTCAATGATCTTTCCCCTTCTCTGTCCACTGAGTTCATTTACAATTTACAATCCAAACAGTTTCTGGTTGTCAGCTTGCCTGACTGTAACCTTTAATATTTACCCTGCTGTCCCCTCCTCCAAACTTTCCTGTCATCTTTCATTTCTGGAGTTGTCAATATCTATCCCAAGTTGTTTATTTTTCTTTCTTTCTTTCTGTTACTTCCTCCCTCATCCTTTTTTGCTTGCTTTCTCTTGACTTTTTAATTTTGAATAAATGATAGATTTGCAAAAAGTTGCAATGATAGCAAAAATAGTGTGGAGTGGTCCTGTGTGCCCTTCACCCAGTTTCCCCCAATGATCACATCTTACATAATTGTTGTCCTGTATCTGAGCCAGGAAATTGACATTGGTACAATGCATGTGCATAGTTCTATGCCATTTTATTGCATGTGTAGATGCAACAAGATACAGAACTATTTAATCACCACAAAGATCTCCCTCATTGTAACCCCTTTATAATCATATTCTACTCACCATTCCTAGCCCCATGGCAACCATTAATCTGTTCTGCAGTCTATAATTTGTCATTTGGAGAATGCTATCTAATTGGTATTGCATAGTATATGATACATTGAGACTGGCTTTATAAAATTCAGCATAATGCCCTTGAATTCTACCCAAGTTATTTTGTGTATCAATAGTTCACTCCTTTTTATTGCTGAGTAGTATTTCATAGTATGGATGAGCCACCATTTACCTATTGAAGGACATTTTGGTTGTTTCCAGGTTTCGGCACACACATAATCTTTTTCCTTTTTAAAGATCTTTTTCCTCTAGGTTGCTGCTTTCTAAAAGGAACTTTCAGGAAAAGAAAAACTTTTGGGGGAGGAGGATTTACCCATTGGTTCTTTTGCCTAATTAAGGGTTAGGTTCAACCCACAGTGATTGGCAATGTAAATAAACTATTAATATTTTCTTTTCAGAAACAGCCTTGCTTTTGACATCCTGTTCCAATTCTTGGTTGTCAGTAAATGCCCTCCCTGCTTGTCTTGTTTGTCAGTGAATACGTTAAATTTGACCTCTGTGGAGGTGTTCCAATATAAATTTTGATCACGAACAAAAATCAGGTTTAGTTATTTTAAGTTAGGATGTTAATTTAAAGTGACTACATTGTTACAAGAGCTTTGGTGCCTGTTCAGGAGATCCTTAAAGTTATTTCTGGCAAAATGTATTGAAACTAGGGGACTTTAGAACTCAGACCTCAAGGGAAACAGGACAAGCTGAGTTTTAGCTGTTTGACTGGAAGGCTGGGTCAGCAAGCAGCCTCTGCTTAAAAAAAAAAAAACACATGCTCATTTTCCAAATGAGTTTAGGCTCAATATTTTGTTAACCCTGCATATGTTTGAGAGGGAACTCCTGAGCGCTGGCTGGCTGAGCTGGTTTTATCTTGGTTCTAGTAAATTAGTAGATTGGCCTGACATTTTTGGCATGCAGTAATGAAGGTTGTCATAGGTTTCCTTTCTGTGAGCAACTTGGCTTCCTATTATGTTTGAAGATTTCACATATTTGCATAAACTGAAGTTGAGGTGATTATATGGGAGAGAAATAAAAGTGCAAATATTTAAATATTACAGGATATTTTAGAGTCTTTTAGGGTAAAAAGGGGATTTAATATATGTGAAATGGAAGTTTGCACTGGCACATTAAGACTTTCTCTCTCTCTCTCTCTCGCCCAGACTGGAATACAGTGGCATGATCATGGCTCACTGCAGCCTCAACTTCCCTGGCTCAAGGGATCCTTCTGCCTCAGCCTCCTCCGTACTGGGACTACAGGCATGCACCACTGCGTATGGTTAAATTTTTTTTTTTTTTTTTTTTTTTTTTTTTTTGAGATAGAGTCTCTCTCTGTTGCCCAGGCTGGAGTGCAGTGGCACGATCTTGGCTCACTGCAACCTCCACCTCCTGGGTTCAAGCAATTCTCCTGCCTCAGTCTCCCGAGTAGCTGTGTTTACAGGCACATGCCACCACGCCCGGCTAATTTTTGCATTTTTAGTAGAGATGGGGTTTCGCCATGTTGGCCAAGCTGGTCGCAAACTCCTGGGCTCAAGCAATCCTCCCTCCTTGGCCTCCCAAAGTGCTGGGTTTACAGGTGTGAGGCACTGCCCCTGGCCGCCTTCTTTTTTTTAAAGTCCTCAAGAAATTAGAAATTTTGATAATGAAAACAATAATCAGAATCTTTTCTATTTTATGAAATTTCTAGGTCTTTGCTTTGCTGGTAACATTCAATTAACATCTTTGTGAAAGTAAGATTGCCCCTCCAATGCCCCCAGCCTCCTATTCCCCACTTCCGATTTCCACTGCTCCTTAATGTGTGGGAGATGATAATGCCTTGTATACATATAACTTATGCCTGGAGGAACAGAAAACAGTTTGAACACTTTGTCTAATGAGTCCCTAGTTTTCCTCAAGGTAGGCGGAGGAAGGTGAGCTGCACATGGGCCCAGTGGATCTCTGCGTGACAAGCACTGAGTCACCAAGTGAGTCACTGGTGAGGCGGGAGGGAGTGGTCCACCCAGGCTAGCATTCTCAGGCTAGCGCTCTCAGAATGTTTTCACAATATCCCAAGGTCTCCACAAGTGTTTCATGAGGTTACTGTAAGATTCATGTATCTCACAATCAAATCAGAATGAATTCGAAACAACAAAGCAAAAAGACAAAACCACAACCATTTGGGGAGGATTTCTTAGGACACCTTAGAGAACAGATCATTCTAGGGCAGTGTTGTAGCTCAGGAAACTTTGAGACACAACTCTTTTTATCCACCTTCCTTCTTTCTCTTTCCTTCCCCCTTCTCTCCTTTCTTTCTCAATTTCTGATGGGCCCAATCCTGGAACGAGGCCATTTAGGGAGACGAAGTGGGGAAGTACAGCAGCTCTGTTTTCAAGAGAAGTTACTGGTCAACATTCTTGGCCTTCTTTAGCAATACCATGAGCCCACTCTCATCTCACTCTCCTCTCACTATTACTATCATCTAATAATCAGAATTCTTTATTAATCAGTCTATTTTGAACATCTGCTATGTGACAACTGATTACTGCCAATGATGACTCAGGAGTGAAACATTTTCAACTGGCTCTGGATGATTGAAATCCAGATTTTACTGGGTGTTGGTGTTCATGCTAATCCTGGGAAAAGTGAGAACCCCCATGACGTGACTAGCCATGGTAGCAGTCTAATAAACAACGTCTCTCATTTGCTGGTGTTTGTGGATCATGGAGTTCCCAGTTCCAGTACTTCCTAGGCAGTGAGACTTCTAACCATTGAGCCATCTGGAGGCCTGCTGGGACCTGGCCATTAGTGTACAAAACATTGAAGCAATGGTGAAGATGTGGGAGAGCAAGTGATCAAAGCTGAGAAGCAAGACAAAGTGACAGGAACTAACATCTATTGAGCATCTAGTGAGTGCTAAGTATTGGGCTACGGGCTTTAGTGCATGTGGTCTCATTTGTCACTGAGAAATGACAACTGACCAGTGACAGAATCCTCACCAGAAAAGGTCTCAGGTAATGTGGTTTCAGAAGAAACCAGTATGGGTTAGGGTGCTTACACTGGCAATTCATAGAAAATGTAAAAACTTTCCTAAGTGATAAGGACACTTGTTGGCTCAGGAGAGGAGAGGCCAGTGGCTTATTGATGCTTGTAAGCCCCCAGGTTACCTCTATCTCTGCCTATGAGGGTTCACTCGCTCCTGGGGCTTGCTGTCTTTGTGAGCATAGAATGGTTGCCAACACATTAATGCTAGTGCTCCCTTATCTGTGTCCAGAGAGTGCGAGTGAGTGAGAGAGAGCGGGTTTCTAGTACTTCTTCCGGAAAAGCAATGTACCTCCTTCCTAGAAGCCTCTTAGCCATCCCATCTTGTTGCCTAGAACTGGGTGACACGGCCAATCTTCAACTCTAATAAGGAGGATGGAATTACCTTTACAGGTTTAGACTACCAAGGGGGTACTCTGGGAGTTAAGAGTGGGGTCAGTGGGCAACTTGGAAGCAAGGTGTATTCAAATGGAAATCTTGCTTTTGGTAAGAAGGAGCAAGCCCTGAGCTATACAGAAGTGAAATCAGGTTCTATGCAATGATATTTAGAAAGAAATTCATCAAAAAGATGTAAACAATTTCTGCTTTTACAGGGGAAAACAACAATTACCTGGGTTGTTCACTCAAATTTCACTCCTAAGCTCCAGATATATTTGGTAACCTTATGCATTTTAAATACAACAAATCCAAGATGGCAGCCGTCACTGCTTTGTTCTACCTCATCAAATGTGCTCTTCCTACTGGGTTCTCCGGTTTGTTCAATGACACCACCCAAGCATAGACACCCAAGCAACAAATTAAAACCCTTTCTGCCAAACTCTTATACCTGGATATGCCAGGGTGTCTCTGAAGTTATTTGTCATAAAGGGACAAAGCCTAGTTGGCAAAGCCAATGTTGATATCAACATATTTGGAATCACCTTCAAGCATGTTTCAACGTGTCTATGACTACCTGTCTTTTATGTAGATTTTATTTTATTTGGGCCAACTGCAGCATCTAGAACACATGACCTCAAGTAAGCAAGTTTAGTCCTTGCATTTTTCTTCTGGGGCTAACCTGTGCCTGTGAGAGAGACAGCTAAAGTTAAAGGCACATGCCTGGCTGCATGCTGAAAGGAGCAAGAGTTTCACCTGGTGGTAGCAAGATCGCTCTGGGGGCAGGTGGTGGTGAGTGTTGGCCGAACTTCAGAAATTTTCTGTAGTTGTAACTGATTTTGCCTGGTTGTGCTGTGAGTGCCACACAGTGTTGTGCACATCTCTGGATGTAAATGTGGAATTTTAAAACTTTGCTATCTGGCTTTAGTCAACCTAAAACATGGACTTTTTTAGCCAGGCGCTACCCCGGCTCACCAGACAGGTTTGCCACAGGGAAAAAAAAAATGAAGTGTAAGTTTGGCTTCAATTTACTTACAGACCATAACATAGACCCTCAGAATATGCTTTTGGTTTTTCTTGGTTGCTGTTTATTGCTGTATTAATTCCCTAGGGCTGCCATAACAAATTACTAAAAACTGATGGCTTAAACAACAGAAATTTATTGTGCCACAGTTCTGGAGGCTGGAAGTCTGAAATCACGCTCCCTCCAAAGGTTCTGAGGGAGGATCCTTTCATCATTTTCCAGCTTCTGGTGGCTCCCGTGTTCCTGAGACTATTCTGTTTTCAGCCTCCATCTTCACATAACCTTCTCTGTTTCTCCTTCTTCTGTCTCTCATAAAGACACTTATGGACACTGGATTTAGGGCCCACCTCAATAATCCAGGGTAATCTCATCTCATCTCTTAATTACGTCTGTAAAGACCATTTACCCAAATAAGGTCACATATACAGATTCCAGGATGTGGACCTATATTTTTGGGGCCATGATGAAACTCACTAGAGTTGCCATGCTTCTCCTGAGATCATGAATATTGAGACATTCAGCACGGTTCGTGGCTTCCAAATCCAAGGATCGGTGCCACCGCTCAGAAGAGCTGCTTCAAGGAAGGTGAGTCTCAAACATCCAAAATGGCAGGCTGTATCCCTCATAATCGTCTTGTTTCCTTGTTGTTTTAGTTATCACCTGGAGAGCTGTACATGCACAAGAAATAACTTTTGGGAGATCCCAGTGAGTAGCCACCAAGTTCCTTAGATTGTATCTTCTAAATCTCTGAGTCCATCATACCCTTCATTGCCACCACCACTGCTTTATTGAATCCCCATCATTTCTTCCCTGGATTATGCCTTTACATTTCCCCTGCCTTCTCTTCAGCTCCCTTTCTCCACATTGCTTTCTGGCAGATGTTGTAATCTGGTGTTACCTGCCTAGTGCTTGGTAGCTTTCCCTTGTGCCTCCAGGCCCATCCTTCTCCACTCTGTCTTCTTCTTCCAAAGCTCTATTGCCCTGTGGCTTCTGGCTGGGTTTGGTCAATGGGGAGCATTGGTGAGATGGGAAAGATGGAGTGGTGAGGGGGCATTTACCTCCCTAACGTTTTCCCTGGGGGTCACTGCTGGCTGGCTGCATCTCTCAACTGATGCTGACAGCTTCCATCAGATGCCTTCTTCACATGTCTTTCTCCTCCAAGCTTTAGTACCCATTTCTTTCTTTACCCTTCCAAACCTAAGGATGGCAACAGTGCCCTCTGTGGTTTCCCTACCTTGCCCACACCTTTAAACATAATTCCTTTATAAACTCTTCTTGGTGTGGTGGCTCACGCCTGTACAAAGTGCTAGCACTTTGGGAGGCCGAGGTGGGTGGATTGCCTGAGCTCAGGAGTTCGAGACGGGCCTGGGGAACACGGTGAAAGCCCATCTCTACTAAAAATATAAAAAATTAGCTGGGTGTGGCAGCGTGCACCTGTAATCCCAGCTACTCGGGAGGCTGAGGCAGGAGAATCGCTTGAACCTGGGAGGCGGAGATTGTAGTGAGCCGAGATTACACCATTGCACTCCAGCCTGGGCGACAGTCTCAAAAGAACCAAAACCAAACAAACAAAACGTGTCTTAAATTACCGATTTCAATGTGCCATATGTTTCTTGACTGGACCATGACTAATACATCCATGCTTAAAGCATGTCACTGGCTCCATCTTGCCCAGAGGGCAAATGCATTAGCCCATGCTGGGGAACAAGGCTCCGGCCTTGCTTCCAGACTTAGTATTTCCTGACACACCCACGGTACTCCTGCATGCTGATGGACTTTTGGTTTTCTGTACTTGCTGTGGAGATTTTATAAGTGATGTTTTCTTTCCTGATTTATCTGCCTGGGCCTTTTCCATCCTTCAAGATTCTGCTGGAAGATTACCTGTTGCCTGTTGTTTTGTTGACCTCCCTAGGCAGGGCTAGCTGCTTCCTCCTCTGTGCTCCCACATCGATTATATAAGTCCATTACAGTGCTATTCACTGCGACAAGTGTTTGTTTGTGTGTCCGTTTTCCTTCTGGTCGCTGAACCCTTGACTGTATACCTGACTATATCCCATTTTTCTTTGTTCTCCAAGTGCCTGTTGTTTTCTCAGGTAGGATTAATAAATATTTTGTGAATGAATACACTTGTTTTATGGACTACATTATTTCTCACCTTTTCATATCAACAAGATTGCAGCAATAAAATGTCATCTTCATCTATGCAACTGTGCATGCTGTTTTGTGTCTTGATGAGTATTATTTTATCCTTATGACAACTCAGAGAGATTGAGTAGATGGGAAGCAAATTTTCCCGTCATGTAGATTGTTACTGGCAGAACTTTGCCAAGAATCTAGACCTTTTGATACTGATTTGCTCTTCTTTTCATGAGACCATTTTGCCTCCTGAGATGCCAGATTTTAAAAAAACAACAGAGCCCAGGAGCAGGCTAACCTAATGAGCACCACCCCAAGGACCACTTCAGATGGAAGGCAACTCAGGCTGCCATAGAGATAACTCCAAGTAATTATAAACACATGTCAGGAAGACCGAAGAGAGAGAGCTTGTTGTCAGAAGGGTTCTAACGAACAGAGCTGGTCACATTACCGGAACCTAACTTGCTGTTGCGAGAGAATTATGTCTGATGTAGGCTCCAGGGACTATCAACAGAACATAACACTTGGATTAAAATTAGGAATGAACATCAAAAAGAAGTATTCCGGGACCCTGGGGAAGGGCTGGCAACCCATGGAGGAAGGAGTGGATTGTTTCTATAATTCAAGCCATATCCCATGAGAAAGTAATATATAGGCAGCAGCACAAATAAAGATAAATTCAAGAGCATTTGGGGCAATTTCTGTTATGTCAATAGAAGGCTTATAGGTTCTTCCCTCTGCCTTAGGGGAAGGAGCATTAAGTTGAAAGCGCTGCCAATACAATGTAGCTCACTTGTGAGGAACATTCACAGAGATAACTATCAGAGAATTTCAGGAGGAGAAGGGGTCTTAAAGGTCATCTGATGCTAGGCCTTGTACTTTTGGATCATTTCCAAGGGGAAGGAAAAAAATGAGACCTGAATACTCCAATTGAGTGAGGGTCAAGACAGACCAAGTTTTGGATGTGGCACATAGGTATTACCTGACATGATCTTTGCAATGCTGTTCGGTCTCAGCATGTCTGTGCAATCCCTGTGGGTCTGTGTCATGACCTCATAAGCCATCATGACAGACCCTCGATGAACTGGAACACCCGTTACTTGCTTGAATTTCTCCCTATGTTCTCCAGTGAAGACAGAGGCGAGTTAAAAAGAAATAAAGGCAATAAAGAAAATACATTTCCATGTATCCAGCTTTATCTTTTAAACCTTTGATGTTGGTGTTCTCAGTCTTAATATGTTTCTGTCTTTTGGCCTGATGTGTTTCTTTTTGGGAATTTATCTCAGTGATACAATAAGAATTGTAGACGAAGATCTGGAAACAAATGACATGAAGATGCTTATGATATAAACCAGAAAAGCAACATACAAAGTATATGGTAAAATCTCTGCCTGATTGTTTGAAAACCTTTCTCTCTCTGCCTAGATATGTATCTCTATAAATAGAAAAATACCAGAAAGGAAACCATCAAAATGTTAATTATGGTTATATTGGGGTGGTGGGATTATAGGTGTATTTTATTTTCTCCTTGTACTTAATTGTACTCCCAAACTTTATGAATATAAATTAGAAAATAACTTTATAAACAGTATTGAAAATCCTTCTCTGACTTTGCCCTGATTTCCAAGACAAAATCCAGACCCTTCAGCTCAGCAAGTGGAGTTCTTTTGGATCTGGCTGCCCACTCTCCTGTCCCATCTCTCCCCACTCCCCTCCCCTTGCCCTGCCTTGCAGCCATGCTGAAGCTCTCGTAGTTTTCCTAAAGCCGGATGCTCCTTGAAGGTCCCATTGGTGTTTTTTCTGCCTAGGACACTTTGCTCTCCTTGTCAGTATTTGCACACTCCAGAACACCCCGGCTGCTCCCGTTTTAGAAAGTCTCCTGTAGTGGATGCTGTGGTTTGCTGTCCCATCTCCTATTCAGGCGCAGGGTGCCCTTTTCCCCAGTGCTAGGGTGCTGCCTGCTGCAGGCTCATACATGGATCCCTCTCCCAGAATTGCCCTTGGTCCAAGGCAGCAGCTGTGTCTGAGGTTATGACCCTCCCCCTTGTGGGACTGCCCACATCTAAGGAGTAGTGAATGCAGGGTACCACGATCTGACTCCCTTGTCTCAATTCGTGTCCCCTCAGAAAGGTTATTCCAGCTTCAGAGCTGACTTCCTGTGGGATCCGCCGAGGCCTCTTTGGCGACCGCATCTCTCACTCTGCCCAGTCCTGTCTCCTTCACTTTCTTACAAGTGAGCACTGATCCAGGACACCTCTTGCACACAAATCTGTCTCTGTTTCTTGGGGAATGTAACTGAGTACCCGTCCTATGACCCCTTACCTCAGTCCCTAAGTTAGAGTCCCATCCTCTGGGCTATTGATTGCTCTTTGTTAATTTCTCCTTAAGCACTTCTCCCATTGCACTCTTGCAGAGCATGGTCCTAGCGTCTCCCCCAGTGACCGGGATCTCCCTGAGGGTAGGAGGCAGTACGTTGTTTTTCTTTGTGTCTGCAGCACCATTCCCAGTGCTTGGCTTTTGGTACATGGTGAATGAGCAAGTGTGAAAGGGGATCACATAGTAGGCAGAATAGCATGGGGAAGAGGGTGAACTACGGATTTGAATGAGAGCGTTATTGACAAAAATGAAATAATACAGGCTCTTCTATATCTTCCAATTGAAGGGACATTCCTATTGAACCTTTCTATGTATACACCCATAAACAAGGCTCTCACTTTGAGGTCCCATGCAGTTCCTGTCACTTTAAGCACCTTGGGAAATTCCAGTGAGTTGAAAGAATTCTGAACTTTATTTTTCCTCTTGTCCTGTATTCGTAAGACTGGTCTTCCTTTGCTCTCCCCTTCCTTCATTCTTTCTTCTCCTCCCCTTCCTTCATTCTTTGTTCTCCCCTTCCTTTTTTTCTCACCATTTTTTCCATCTAGGTCGAGGACTAGTTTGTTGCCCAGGGAATTACAAAAAAGTGGTGGCCAAGGACTAATCCTCTAGTAGTCTTATTCTTCAAGAAGTTGAAGAAAAAGTCGAGTGCCCTTTCAATTCCTACCCTTCTCTGATTTATCACTCTGAAAGTAATGATGTTCAGCTTTCTTGCTCTAGAGGAATGATTCAGGTAAAGCCCCACTGAGGGCAAAAGGTAATCTGTACCAGGTTTCAGAGTTACCAGTGTAATCAATCAAAATGTGTCATTAAGCCCCTGGCTGCGTGTTCTCCAAATGGAGTCAGTAACACCCAACCCTTAAGCTTATGGGTTAGGGGGACCTCCCCACCCCTCCCTTCTGTTTCACTTTGATGGGGTCCACCTTGGATAAACTCTCTGGTGCTAAAAAAGTACTGAGAAGTGACAGAAAGTTGCTTCACATCTACTCTATTTTTCAAGAAAAACATTACTATTTTCTCTGAATATGGAACCACCCCAGTGCTTCTGTGAAGTGGAGCTGGGTTATTCAGAGGCCCTTTCTGGTTTTATCTTGTCTTTCACACACTTGGCAGGACAGGTATTCTGATCTCCAGTGCATAACTGAGGACAGAGCACATGGAGGGCAAGAGACCTTGAATAACTATAGAGCTGCTTAACTCAGCACTGGGATAGGAATTCAGGACTCCCTACTCAAGGTCTGTGCCTCTAGCACTAGTCCACACCAAGGGCATTTCCTTAACGGTGGAGATTTTCTTCATGAGTACATTCATTCCCCTCAGACTTAAAAGTTGTCACAAATCCCAAAACTATACAAAGCATGAGCATGGCATTGGTGGCTGTGTGTGTGTGTGTGTGTGTGTGTGTGTGTGTGTGTGTGTATGTGCGCTGGGGGCAAGGGACCTCAACCCCACAGAGACTTAGCCTTACCTGTTGTAGGTAGCTGATGGGAACATTTGTTCCCTGCTGTCCTTGTTTCTATTGGGGACATGTTTCCATTGAGTAAATCCCCTGGCCGCCTGCATCCTCTCTCTCCTTCACTTCATTGGAGGAAGAGGAACTTCAGTCGGCCTGGGAGAAGCAATGGAAGATGTACGCCTCACCTATTCCTTTCTCTCTGGGAAGAGCCTGAGGAAAGTAAACATCCTCTGCCCCTCCAAGCCTTAACTTTTAAGTGGTAAATCTCCATGTTGCAAAGTTTCTGTTTGCCATCAGTGGTACAATATTAACAAGCCCAAGGACCTGAAATGATAGCCACCAACCAAGACTTTGTCAACTTAAAAGAATGGTGATATTTTCCCTCTATCTGCCTGATTCCTATTCCTCTTAATTGGCTCAGAAGTTGGGCAGGAAAGAGGGGTCCTATTTATTGGGTACCCTAAAACCCCAACATAAGGGAAGTCTTTTCTGGTTTCCTCTGGGAAACCTTAGGTTCAACAGTGGCCTGTTGTGGATAAAGATCTACTCTTGGGGGTGACCAAGGATTTGGGGGCAGGAATTTGGAATGAGAACCCAGGCAAGCTGAACTAAAATGCTAACTGGGCAAGGGTGTCCTGTCTCCAGTTTGATGACCAAGGGAAGGTCCTGACTCACTTGGGGCTTATGAAGGGTAACAAGGGGGACTTCTCAGTAAATCAACCACTCACTCTTCATGTGACAGTAAAAGCAGTCATGGAACAAACAAACTTCCTGCCAAGGCTCCTTCTTGTTACCGCAAACTTTCAAGTGTGAGTAACCATGTGAGCAAGGGGGAACCCAATAATTACTAGAATAATTCCTTTGTGTGTGCTGAAGTTCAGTTCATATCTGACCTCCCCAGCCAAAAGTAATCTCTCTTCTCCAGACTTCTACGTCCAGTATCTGGAACTTGCATTTGAGACTTACTATTCCTGACTGGCTTTATTATTTGCTTAGTCATTGTGGTGGTGGTTCTTGCTTTTTGTGCATTTTATCTCCAGTCCCAAAGATTTTAAGTTTATTAGGCATAAGGACCATGTCGTATATCTCCTTGTATTTTCCCTGACCATTCAAGGGCCTAGCATAACATTTACTTGCATTTGGAAGTGTGGAAATAAATGAAGACCAACCAAATAAGAATAAGCACAGGCTGTTTATTCAGAGCTACTATCGTTTGTGTTTTGGCAGAGACTCAAATGCGGGCAGAGGAGTGGGAAAACTTCATAGTAGAAAAAAGGGAGGCTCCAGGTATGTGCTGATTGGAGGCTGTTGGTGTGGGAAGCTGGAGGTGGTTCACTAGAAGCACAGATGCCTATGTGATTGCTTAGGGTGCATATTTGCCTTTCTCTGGTTTGTCCTAAGTTGGAAGCAGGGACAAAAATCAGGGAGGCTGTCCATTGTCAGTCAAGTTCTGGCCATTTGGAGCTGATTCTTACAGGGGTTATTGTTTGGCTTCCTAACTTGTTGATAGAGATAGTGGTTAGACTTCTAGAGGTCTGGCTGATGATAGCAGGCTGGCTTCCTGGGCCGATTGCTGTTGCTAATGGGTTGGTGTCCTGGGCTGGCTGCTGTAGATTGTAGGTTGGAGTTGTTTTTAATTATGGCTTGGCCGTTGTCCATTTGTATATTCAGTCTCTTGGTGAGTATCAATAAATCTTGCTTGATTAACTAATAGATTGTTCTGACTATGGGTTGAAGCATGCCCTTTGAATTAATATTATTTCTCTTTCTCCTCACTGCTTGATCAACTGTTTGACAGGTATTCTCCATTTGATTTTTATAACATGACCTTAGAAATAGCGCAAGGGAGAAGGAAACTTGCTCCATTTTTGCTCCTTTTCTTAATTACCTCTTTACAGACCCTATCTCCGAATAGAGTTACTGTCTGAGGCTCTAAGGGTTAGGGCTTCAACATTTGAAGTTTGGGAGGCAGTGGGGCATAATTCCCCATCATACTCTTTGAGGGCCTCATTTAACTGAATATGCTCAGATCTATCTCAACTCAAACACACTCTGAGCCTTTGGCCTGGATGCATCCAAAAGAAGTGAGTAGAATGCTCAGGTGGCCTGTGACTTGCCGTGATTCACTGACCAAACACGAAGGAAGTGGAGCAGATGGTCACGCCATTAGAAGGCAGTCTCTCCTCAGGGAAGTCAGTCTCGTGGATTCCAGTGGCCCTGAGAATCACGATGCTAGTCTTCAAAAGAATAAGAAAGACCGATAAAAGATTGCTTCTGCTCTAAGTTGAAAGTGGCTTATGGCAGCTTCTCTCACCCCATTGACCAAGCCCATTCGCTAAAGCCCGTAACAAAAGGATTTTCCCCCCTAACATTTAGAAATGGCAAAAAGCAAAGAGATGAATCATCAAATAGGCAGAACGCTCTTCCTACACCTCTTTTACCTGAGCAAAAACATGACTTCCTGAAAGAGTACAAAGAGAGAAAATTGGTAGGAGATGACTAACAGGGGTGACTGTGCTGATGCAAAGAATGTCAGGACAGCATGAACTTTAGAAACAGGCAAGGTTAGATGCTGAAACGGAGGCGGGTGAGCACACTCCCTCAGGAAATCAAACTCAGGGAGAACCGTGAATAAAAGGCTCCCCAGAAAAGACGTGAGTGTGTAACTTACTTGACATTTCCACCAACGTGCAGCAGTGGGTTGGGTATGATGGTTCTAAATACCCAGTGACACATATTTACAAAAGAACTGTGTGGTTTTATTTTAAATGACAATGTCTTCTTAATCACCCCTCCGTACTGCCTGTCTGCAGCACTGCGAGTCACCAGGGTTCTGTCTTGGAGGAGCACTGTTTGGTCATGAGTCGTGTGCTGGCAATGTCTGGGAAGTGAGGGAGGGTCAGCAGCTCATGACCGTAGGCTCCAGGGAGAGCAGGAAGCTCTGCAGGATGCATGTGTTATGGGTTGAACTGTGTCCCCTAGAAAGATATGTTGAAGTCCCCACCCCCAGTACCTTGAAATGTGACCTCATTTGGAAATAAGGTCATTACAGATGTAATCAGTTAAGACAAGGTCATATCGGGGTAGGATGGGCCCTTAATCCAATATAACTGGTGTCCTTAAAAGGGAACTTTAGACACTGAGACAGAGACATACAGAAAGAATGCCATATGATAACAGAGGCAGAGATTGGAATTGTGAACCCCAAACATCTGAGACAGGTCTCAGTCAATTTAGGGTTTATTTTGCCAAAGTGAAGGACTTGCCTGTGACACAGCCTCAGGAGATCCTGACAACATGTGCCCAGTGTGGTCGGAGTACAGCCTGGTTTTGTACATTTTAGGGAGACATGAGACATCAATCAATATATGTAAGATGTACATTGGTTTGGTCTGGAAGGGCTGGACAACTCAAAGCAGGGAGGGGGCTTTCAGGTCATAGGTAGATAAGAGACAAACGGTTGCATTCTTTTGAGTTTCTGATTAGCCTTCCCAAAGGAGGCAAGGAAATTCCTTGTGGACAAATTGTAAGGGAGGTACGTAGCTCTTTTATCTTAGTAGCTATCTTTTAAAGAATAGAATGGGAGGCAGTTTTGCTCTAAGAAGTTTCCAGCTTGACTTTTCCCTTTGGCTTAGTGATTTTGGGGTCCTGAGATTTATTTTCCTTTCACAGAATAATGCATTTGTAGTCCAAACGTTGCCAGCAGACACCAGAAGCTAGAAGAAACAAAGAAAGGGTTCTCTTCTACAGATTTCTGAGGGAGCAAGTGCCTGACACCTTGATGTCAGAACTCAAGCCTCCAAAAGTGTGAGAACATAAACGGTTGTTGTTTTAAGCCCCCCAATCTATGTTACTTTGTAAAGGCAGCCCTAGCAAAGGAATACAGCCCATCATACATTGTGGTGAGCCCAGAGCTTCACACCACACATTTCCTGCTCTGTGCCTTCTAAAGTATATTTTTCAAAGGTCTTCACTTTCAGAAACTTGACCTTTTTCCAATTTTAAAAAATGATACAAGACCTTATTGTCTTCTACCCTCTTACCTCAACATATTGCACAAAGGCTGCACAGATCAGAGCTGGAAACTGTCTACCTGTTTTCCATGGTGACATCCTCTGTAGTCTCAGCTTATCACTGACGACCTTGGGCGAGTCTTGAGGCCTCCGTCTCTTCATTTGTAAAATGAGAGACTGGAACTAAAGCAACTTTAGCCTGAAACATTGGTAACCATGACTCCTCTTTTTCTTCACTGGTTTTTTAGACTCCAAGATGATGATTAAGGTGGGCCCTAATCCAATCTGACTGGTGTCCTCGTAAGAAGAGAAGATGAGGACACAGACAAACACAGAGGGAAGACTGTGTGAGGGCACAGGGAGAAAATGACTCTCTACAACAAGGAGAGAGGCTTCAGAATAAACCAATTCTGCTGACACCTCTCAAACTTCTAGCCTCCAGAAGAGTGAGGAAATCCATTTCTGTTGTATAAGCCACCCAGTTTGTGGTGTTTATTATGGCGGCCCTAGCAAGGGAATACAGAGGGAGACAGGTTCAGACATGTAAAGCGAGCCTTTAAAAGACACCACGTGCACCAGTGGAGCCCCAGGCCCAGGCCCCACAGACCTTGCCTCCTGGTCCAGTCCTTACTTTATCTCAGGATGTGACATTGCGTTTCTTATGGAAAAGATCTCACTAACCTACTTCATTTAGGAATGCAATTTAATTGGCAACTCAACGGTGATGTCGCTTCTTTTGCCATTTTTCTGCAACACCAAAGGAAAAAATTTTAAGCCAGCTTTTTTTAGCTGCAAAGATGACAAATGTTATCAACAATATCCAACCAGAGTATATTTTCATCCCTTTTCATCCCGTCACGATAAGCCAGAAGTATTTGTTGCCAGAAATGGAAAACAGCTTGTTCATCAGCCAGATGATCGCAGTGCTCAGAAGTTCCACTCGTTTGCCATGTGTGAAAAGTTAAGAATTGAAAACAGACAGGCTTGCTCTGCTTAAACCGTGAGTTCTGTGAAGCAAGAGAAAGAGAAATTTGGATACTAGGAGAAGAGTTGTGAGATGGTTTCGACGGCAAAGTGAACAGGGCCTTTTCACATTATTCTGAGATGGGACCTCTGGGTTGATTTGATAGTGGATATGACTGTTCTCTAATTGGCTAGAAGATGAGTCTAAAGTTACCAACCACCGGAGGATACTTTTGTGTTCTAGAACAAATTCCAATGTCCTACACAAATGTGATGCTGGGGACTTCTCTGTTACCTGACACCAAATTTCCTAGACATTTCCATTATACTTCCTCTTCCTGATTATCTTGAGTGGGAAATCTCCATGAGTTCTTAGTAGAAGGCAGAAGTATACAGTGGACCTGGGCCTTCATTAGAAACCATGAGACTTCAAATGAGAGCCTGAATTATTCCTTTATGTTTTCATTTATGTGAGAAAATAAGGGATATTGTTGACTTTTTATGAGATTAAGTTACCCAGTTATCCATCCTATTATTATAAGTTTTAGTGTTTGCAAAGAGATTTCTGATCGTTTTTATTAGTCTCTTTGTAATAGCTTCAGGGACTTTTTGACAAAAGAGAGAACCATTTTAAGCAGTAGAAATGTAGGCTTACAGAGGTCAAATGGTTAATTTGAGATTGCCCAGCAAAACAAAACAATACGAAAAAGAACACCTGAAGAAAAATCAAGATTCATACTCTGGGCTGTAATTACCATTCTGTAGGTTTCCGGAAGCTCATATAGTCACATTACATTTTGTTCATGTCGTTAGAAATCATTTGCAGTTCAACACTTAGATTCCCTCCTGTGTTTGATTTGCAAGGTCTTGGAAGTTAACTTGAACTCAAGGATTTGTCTACCTAAGAGAGGCAAATAGAAAAACCCCTAAAGCCACCTGACCTGATTCTTCTTTGTTAAGACCAGCTCAGAATAGAGTGAAATAAGCAAGCTGCAGAAAGACAATGCTACGTTGAGTTCCACTTCCTCTTGATAAATTCAGAACAGCCAGTCCATCTTAAGGGTGGATGTTTTTAGCAGCAGGGAGTGGTAGTTGGATGGAGGCAAGCGGATGGAAAGGAGGAGAGAGGAGAAGAGAGACAAACTCAGGTGCCCCAGAAAAGTCCACTTTCTCCGTCCCCATTCAGGCCACCTTCATCTTCCCCCACCCTCTGCTGGCCTTTCTGGGGGCTCAGGTTTTGAGCTGACTGAGCCCTCAGCGGGAGACCACAACGCATTTTCAGATGAAAGGACAACCCTGAAGGTACCTATTACATGTCTGTGAGCAGAGAAACAAAGGCCCGGCTGCTGACACCCTCCCACTAACTTGAGTTTTAATGGTAGGTTTGATTTCCTCACGCTTAGCTGAAAGAAAGGGAAAAAACTAAGCGGAAAGAACGAGGGTGTGGGTATCTGTGGTGGTGGGGAAACGACAGCTGTTGTATTCATGGTTAATCAGGTGTGTCTGGCTTTGTGTCGCATCTGTCTGCTACTGTTGCCAGGCCACATGTGAAAGGGAACCGAGGGGAAGGGGCCATTCATGTTCAAAGCCAGTAGCACTGACCTCTGCCTCGTTCTCTTCAGGGTAGGAAAGCTTGTCTATTTAACTTTCCCTATTATAGGAAGCTGTAATTCTACTCTATTAGCCCACCCTAACCATTTTGGCCTGACAAATGCAAGCTGCATCCAGAATGCCATAAATCTGCATGGGAAGGAGTCCTCCTCCCTCCTTCCCATTTTTTTCCTTTGGGGTTCGGTTCGATTTGTCAAACAAGAGAAAACCAGCAAGAGAGAGAAAAATGAGAACTCAGGGCATCTTGGTTCACCTTCCATCTTAAATGGGCCTAGGGACCGAGATGGGGGCTGGGAGGCACCCCAAGGTCAAGCCTGGAGCACTGGTTCCCCCTCCAGATCTGTTTATCTCACGAGTCCCACATGCGTGTGGTGATTGCGTCAGACCTTAGTCATCTCCCTGGCACCAAATCCTCCTCCTGGATCCTTGATCCCCCTCCTCCTTCTCTGCCCACATACAGAGGGACCATGATGGAGGAGGGGAGGCTTCTGGCTTCTCCTGGAGCCAGGCCTGTGTTCTAGATATTGCTGGCCCAGGCCTGCCAGGCACGACTCTCCTCTCTGGCATATGGAGAAACAGCTGAAATGGAAACAACCCCCAATGCACCACATTGCACTAAAGCTTAGCGTCAGAGTTCAAAGGACTACTCCAATTGGAGATCAAACTGATCCCTCCCACTGTGGCCTTTTTTGAGGGGGTCCATCACAACCCTTCGGGGGTGCTTTTCTCCAGCACTTCCGCTTCAGGGCCAGCCCTTGTGTTTCTTGGAGTAAATGATTGCTGTCAGCATTTCCAACACCATGGAGTTCTGGCTCCAACTTTGGCTTCCTGGAGAATGGGCCATCATAGACTTATTACAGGGTTCAGAAGAGCTTGCCATCTGCAATCTATTTTAGTTGTCACTGCCTCTTAAAATAGGCACTAACTTTTATCCCATCACATTAATTCCTCTCATGTTGAGGCTAGAGTCGAGCTTTTGGGGTGTGTGTATGCACGTAACTATCTTTTTAAAATCAGAAGGGTTATTTTCCTAAGACATGGGTTATCAGCAGCACAGCTGAGTTTCCTCTTTCTACTGGCCTGTGCTGATGAAGTTGGTTGCGTTATTGACCTGCAGCTTTGGGGTCAGAATGCTTTTGGTTCCCTGATGTAGAAGGACATTGCAAAACTATCCCAGTGCCCTGTGCACTGTCTTTCTCTCTCTGATACTCCCCAGATCTCCAAATTTTAATGGTGTCAATAGACATAACTCATGCTCCTGCTAGAAGCCTAGCACCCTGCTAGGCTCTGTGAGGACTTTGAGAATTTGTCATCTTGTGAGACGCCATGAATAATGCAAGAAATAGCAAAACAGGTCTGAAAATGAAGTCTAACTAAAAAGTGTACAAATCCTAAGTGTACAGCTCTATGAATTATTACTAAGTGAATATGCTCACGTAACCATCACCTAGATTAAGAAACAGAACATTACCGCCACTGGAAACTTCTTAAAGTTCTACCTAGGTGGACACCTTGTTATATCTAAAACAATTCTACAACGTGATTGGGAGTGAGATTTAGTTCTTAATTATGTGGCTATGGAAATGTAGATTTTGAAAGGTTCCCATTGGCTGGAAGAGATTTGCCCATGGGAAGATTTTGAGTATGCCCTGGGCTGGCCTGCTGAAGTTGAACTTTAGAGAACCCGGGCGGGCTGGCTGTGCAATGCTCTTGGCTCCAGAGAAGGACATGCAAGATTCTGGCATCCTTTTTAAAAAAATTGTGGTAAAATATACATAACATAAAATTAATCATTGTAATCATTTTTAAGTGTGCAGCTCAGCAGTGTTAAGTACAGATTGTTGCGCAATGATCACCACCATCCATCCCCAGAGCTCTTTCATCTTGAAAAACGGAAACTCAATACCCATTAAACAGCAACTCCCTATTTCCCTCCACCCCCATACCCGGTAACTACCATTCTACTTTCTGTCTTTCTGAATTTGACTACTGTAGGTACCTCACAGAAGTAGAATCATGCCATATTTGTCTTTTTGAGACCGTTTTATTTCACTGAGCGTAATGTCCTCAAGGTTCATCCATGTCATGGCATGTGTCAGAATTCCCTTCCTTTTTAAGGCTGAATAATATTCCACTGTACATGTGTACCACATTTAGTTTACTCATTCATCCATCCAGGGACTCTTGGGTCACTGCCACCTTTTGGCTCCTGCAAATAATGCTGCTTTGAACATGGGTGTACAAATTACCCTTATGCACCTTTCCATTCTTTTGGGTGTATACCTAAAAGTGGGATTGCTGGATCATATGGTAATTGTATCTTTAGTTTTGGAGGAATTACTATATCATTTGCTGTAGCAGCTCACTATTCTGGAATCCTTTTCACCTGGACCATTTCCTCCTGACCAGCCTCCTGGATGGCATTAGAGGGAGCCTGACACGTGGATTGAGGTGGTGGCAATAGTGAGGATGGTGGTCTGTACTCTGTATGTGCCCGTTGTTGGGAATCTAGAGCAAATGGGGCAGGATGGAGTGTGACACCACAATCCATGGTGGAAACTTGAGAGTTCACTGAATAGAGGGGGAGGAATTTATTTATTTACTTATTTTTATTTTTGAGACAGGGTCTTGCTCTGTCACTTAGGCTGGCATGCAGTGGTGCAACATAGCTCACTGCAGCCTTGAACTCCTGGGCTCAAGAGATGTTTCCACCTCAGTCTCCTGAGCAACTGAGACGACAGGCCCACATCACCACACCTAGCTATTTAAAAAAATTATTTTTATTTTGTAGAGATGGGGTCTCATTATGTTGCCCAAGCTGCTCTTGGTCTCAAACTCTTGAGCTCAAGTGATGCTCCCACCTTCAGCCTCCCAAAGTGCTAGATTTACAGACGTGAGCCACTGTGCCCAGTCTGTGGGAATAGTTCATTTTGCACAAAGATAAATGCTTTTCCCCCTAATTTGTGGGAGACTGAGGTTAAAGGAGTCCTTAATAACCAGGTATTCAGAGGCCTTCTGCCTGTTCAGTGTATCACCTCCAGATTTTTGGGGGGCCTTTAGGCGTAAGTGTTGAGATATTTATAGAACAGATTATGAGCTTTTAAATAGATTACCTAAAAAAAAAGAAGAAGAGAGAGAGTGAGGGAAATGGTAGCCAGTAAACCAACTGAGGAAGGCACACACCTTTTGCCTGATAGGGATGTCGAGGAGAGGGATGCCACTTGAATACGAAGGTCGTTCTTGGGCTCACGGGTGCAGTCGTTTGGGTTTAGTGCTGGCTGCTGATGCCAGAAGCACTCAGTATTGAACATTCAGGGGCTTCTTCAAACAATTTTAAGTATTTCTGTTTTCTAAATCTTGATGCTTTATTGCTAGGGATAAGCTCACATTAATATCCACTGGAAGGAAGAACTATGAGGATCACCAGGGTGAGGACCTTTAGAACTGAAGAAGGACACATTATTATTGCTAAAAGAATATCTGCTTCTTCCCAGTTCCTTCCCTTTGGCCTTCTCCCATTTCATTATAGGAAAAAAAAGCTCCATGAAATTACATATTGTTTTCTTAAATTTAAAAGATACGTATGGCTGCCACCTAAAGTCTGTCAAGGAAAAAAAATGTCCTACCCCAAATGGTAACCATTATTTAACAGTTGTTTTATTTTCTTCCAAAACGCTCTGTATATATTCACTGTGCTTTTGAGGCAGCACAGTTTAGTTCTAATTACTTACAACCCAAACACCACCAATTATAAAAATATACAGATACTACCCGTATGCAACTCTTTACCATTATAAACTACTTTCACATATAATTGAACCTTATCAAAATTGAAATTAGTAGTAGTCTTTTTTTTTTTTTTTTTGAGAGGGAGTCTGGCACTGTTGCCCAGGCTGGAGTGCAGTGGTGTGATCTTGGCTCTTGGCTCACTTCAACCTCTGCCTTCCGGGTTCAAGCGATTCTCCTGCCTCAGCCTCCTGAGTAGCTGGGATTACAGGCATGCGCCACCATGTCTGGCTAATTTTTGTATTTTTAGTAGAGACTGAGTTTTGTCATGTTGGCCAGGCTGGTCTCAAACTCCCAACCTCAGATGATCTACCTGCCTTGGCCTCTGAAGTGCTGGGACTACAGGTGTAAGCCACCAAGCTTGGCTGAAATTGGTATTATTCTTATTTAATAGAAAGGAGAGGCAGGGGAGATTAAGACACTTGTTCAAATTTACACCACATGTTAGAAAATGGAGTTGGGACAAGAATCCAAGTCATTGAAGTAAACTGTAGGTCCACAAGCCTTTCTCCTCCACCATAGAATCTGGAGTGAACATTGGAGGCCAAAGTGCCTTACAGAAATACTTAAAGGAGCTACCAAGTCACTGGCTTCATAAAGCTGACTAATCTTCATGTGTCCATGGTGTCAGTTTATGAAACCCTTTATCTTATACGAGGAGGCACACTGGACTCACTAAGAATTGCAATGAGAATTGAGTTTATTGGAATAGGTATAACCTCAATAGAATCATAGAGAAGACAACTGAGAACCTGGAAAACATTTTTAGTATTCATGAGTGTGTTGGCACCAGCTTATTTATAAAGTTGTTTTGACAACGTGTGTGCCTTAAACTTCTATTTATAAGAAGTAAAATGGAATCATCTTCTTACCCTGCTGAGTTGCAAATTCTGTTTTAGGGCAAATTTTTAATCTGCCTCTTTAATATAGAGCAATAGATATATTTTTTTTCCTGCTGAGTTTATTTTTTCAAGTACATAAGTTAATTAAGAACCATTTACCTGAAGATATGTTTTCTTCCTTATGAAGTACATAATGAGAACATGGCCACAGATGTTAGGTAGTGACAGAAATGCCTGTCTGGAAGGTGAATTCTTTAAATTTTTTTTATCTCACAATAGCTGTATAGAGAATTGTTGATGGTTCATGTTTTATTTCCCTTTGTTATAAAATTTTCATAGTTTGCAAAAATAAAAGTTATGGGCTATGTGTCCTTTATTTGATACTCCCTGTGAGAAAGGGTAAGATAGAAGATTCAGTAATGGCCAGTGTTGGTGGAAGAGACTGCTGCTTGTAACCAGTAGAGAGGAACGGGGGGTGGGGAAGTTTACTTCAGCACTGTATTGATTAGAATTAGATTCTTCTTTATAGGAGACAGAAATATCTTATATAAGTGGCATAAAAATATGAAAGTAAATGTGTCTTTTACATAAAAGAAATTCAGAGTTGCAGTCTATGGCTGGTATGGTTCCTCCATGAGGTTTTCAGATACTCAGTTTCCTTCTAGTTCATTAATCTGTCATTCTTAGGTTATAGCTTTTGTCTTTATTGTCTTCATGATTCAAGATGGCTGCTAGAGCTCCAGCCATCATTCCTTCCTTCCTTCTTTCCTTCCTTCATTTCTTTCTTTCCTTCTTTCCTTCTTTCTCTCTTTCTCTCTCCTTCCTTCCTTCCTTCCCCCCTTCCTTCCTTCCTTCTTTCTTTCATTCTTTTGTTCTTTCTTGCTCTCTCACCCAGACTGGAGTGCAGTGGCACAATCACAGCTCACTACAGCCTCTAACTCCTGGGCTTAAGTGATCCTCCTGCCTCAGCTTCTCGAGTAGCTGAGGCTACAGTTGCACAGTACTATGCCTGGCTAATTTTTAAATTCTTTGTAGAGAGAGGGTCTTGCTTGGTTTCCTGGGCTGGTCTTGAAATCCTGGCCTTGATCTCCTGCCTTGGCCTCCCAAAGTTGCTAGGATTACGGATATGAGCCACTGCACCTGGCTCATGTGTGTGTGTGTGTGTGTGTGTGTTTTTACAGAGGAACTTCCTAGAAATTCCACACAATACTTCTGCTTATGTTGTATTGTCCAGAACCTAGTCATATGGCCACATTTACCTGCCAGGTAGGCTGGGAAATATATGTTGTGGATGGCAATAAGCTGAAATAAAAATTGAAGTTCTGTTATTGAAAAGGGGAAAAATGGATTTTTTTTTCCAGGAAGAACTTTTTATTAATATAAAGTTTTAAGATATTCACCAGTCAGATCTAAACTTACTCATTAAACTCTATTTTTAAAAAATGAACACACTGTACTGCAGTGAAAGGCAGGAACGTGGTTTTAGACACTGATTGAAAACCAGTGTCTTCACGCACTGAGAACAGGAAACATTCTGCACTGCGAACGAAGTGCACAGTCAACAGGAAGACACACACACACGACAGAAAGCCCCCAGTGTGAGTGACCGTGTACCTGGGCAGGTGACAGGATGCCCAGGCCGTGGCTTGGACATGGCTGCCACGCTGCGATGCCTGCTGGGCCCCACAAGGACTGGGGACACACACAGAGCCCAGCTATACACTGTGATAGAGTCCACCCATTTTGCTACCCTATACCCATGTGCACTGTTCTCCTACCTTCCTGCTACCTGGATTGTGATTGTAAGGCCTGGATTCCAAGATGTTAACTTGATAATAAAAGCCACACACAATAGAACAGTAAGATGCAAGGCACATGCATCCCTGGCACTGTGGAGCTGTGGACAGACTAGCTCTAGATTTCCACGTGAGAGAGAAATACCTCTCTATTTTGATTAAACCATTTTGCTAGAGTTTTGATGGTTGCAGCTGAGCCTAATCTTAACAGATACAAGCATAATATAAACTTATAAAATAGTGTTCTTTTTAAGATTGTGTCTTACTTTGCCTACCAATGCAGGTGGACTGACCATCTGCCTATCCAGCCTGGCCTACCATGTGATACTAGGTATACGAAGTTGGCTCAGAAGTTAATTTCACTCACGGGAGCTTCTGTTCTAGGAAGAACAAACAAACCAATGCAGTAAAGGGACTCCCATTGCTTTAATGGAAATCTGTATAAAAGAGAGTGGTGCCCAGAGATATTTGCTATATGCTCTACTGCCATCTTAGACTAGGAAAAACCAAAACCAAAACAATGCTGACCATAGCATATTTTTTTCATCATTGACATTATCTTTATATTAATCACTTGTAATTATTCCTTGAATATACAAAATCTGACTATTGGTTTTTGTTTATATTGAGAGAATGATGACATCAGATTAAACATTAATTTTCCCTTGAGAATCTTTCAATACAATTGGAGTAGAATTTTTTTTTTTTGAGACAGGGTCTTGCTGTGCCACCCAGGCTGGGGTGCAGTGGGGCAATCATGGCTCACTGCAGCCTCAACCTCCTGGGCTCAGGTGATCCTCTTGCCTCAGCCTCCTAAGTAGCTGGTACCACACGCGTGCACCACCACACCTGACAAATATTGGAAAATTATTTATAGAGATGAGGTCTCCCTATGTTGTTCAGACTGGTCTCAAACTCCTGAACTCAAGCGCTCCTCTTGCCTCGGACTCTTAAAGTGCTGAGATTGCAGGTGTGAGCCACTGCACCCAGCCTGGAGCAGAATATTTTTACATAAAACTAAAGAGAGGTTGGCGACTTATAATCGTGTTCAGGAGGTAGCAAATGTTTTACTTAGGTGAGAAGAAATATACTTTTCGTGTTGTCATAGAGTAAGCCCAATCCTTATTTACTTTTGTTACCATTGGCATGACAACAATCATTGGAGCATCTTTGTCTTCCAAACATTTCTTATATTATTTACTTTTTCATAGCAACTTAAAACGGAAGATCATAGAGTTTAGGTGACTTGCCCTAGGACACGCCCTTGGAAAATAGTAGAGCCAGAATTTGAATTCAGTTCTGGGTCTCTTTTTTTTTTTTGAATTCCATTCATGTGTTGATAATAGCTGCTATGGAGACTTAGCCAGGAAAGCAGATGTGGATGGTTAGCGGAAGCTAAAGAGGAAAAAGGTTAAGCTTTTTTTTTGAAGTTTTCCTGCTCAGCTAGGAAAACATTGCTGCAGTTATCAGGTAATTGAAGTGTCAACGTGACGCTGTCAGAAAGGTTGGATGAATTTGTTCCTGTTGGCCTATATTTGGCTGTTAAGTGAGTTGCACAATTGCAGTTTTCAGGTTAAGAAACTCTCTGGCAGTCGTGGGAGTTCCTCTTTAGAAGCAACTCTGCTAACATGCAAAATCAATGTCACTGAAGATTTTGCTTATGTTACTGCCTCCAACACTGTTTGATCCTTACATAAAAGAGACATTTGTCATTTGACAGGACTAAGACTGGGAAAGGTTGTGGAGGCTTCCCCCAGCTGTGGTGCACAAATATCTACACATTCTGTCTGCTTAAGTTTCTTTGGAATGTTTTCATTGCAAAGGCTGGGTCACTGAGGGGGCCTGCCCTTGCCCTTTGACCTTGGTAAATTACTGCCCCCAGTCCTGATGAGTTTGCAGGACAAACTTCCATCATCTTCCCAACCTTGGCAATGAGGGAGAAGGCTGGACCTCCCTGGCTTTGTTTTAATCCATTTTCACCTCCCTTTTCTTTTTCTTTCTCTTAATTCTTGTTGTTCTTCCTTTGAGTGACTACCAGCCCCTATGTAACTCTTTCTCTTTTTTTTCTACCCCTCTATCTTGGCTGCCACTCAACTTCAAAGCTCACTTCAGCAGGAGAAATGTGTGAGTTGTATGGAAATGCTGCCCTCTGGACTTTCAGTATTTTAACCCCCGGACTTGATTCAACTGCTTCCCAAATGATTGGAAAGAAATATCCCAAGCCCAGAACTGGAGAAACCCTTTTTTTTTCAGTGACCAAATAGATTTTGGTGTTGTGCCTATGTACCTTTGATCAATTCATATTTCCAATTTGGGGACATGCTTTTTCTAAAGACAAGTGTCTTTCACTTAGAGGAACTTAGCTGATGGATGACTTGTACAGATCCAATTAGTCTTGTTTCAGATTATAGGCATTCAGAAAGAGGTATCTTTTAATGGTTTTTTGGGACCGTGGGAATTTTGTTACAATATCTGTCACATCTTCCAGTAAAAAAGTGATAGCAATTTTTTTCTCTTTGGAGGTCTTTTTAAAATGCCTTCTTTCCTCATTGCTACAGATATGTTCTTGCATAAATCTTTGAAGCAAGCCAATGTCTTCTAGAATCTCATTAAATTTCATGACTTTCCATTCCTTGTGTTGAAAATATATTCCATTTTTTACATAACATTTTAAACATTATCCCTTAAAAAGGTAAAGGATGTTCATAGGGAATCAGAAAGTTTGTAAAACACAAATAATAAAAATTAAAATAATCCATAATGATAAAATTGTCACGTTTTATCCTGTTTATTTTGCTTAGAGAGTGATAGAGCCTTTGTTGGGTGATCATACACTTGTTATTGTTACTGAAGAGTGTGGGGTTCTGGTAAGCATGTTCTGAGAAAGAGAGAGATATTTTGTTTTTCTCTAAAGTGCTTGGATCTTCTATGAGTTGATTTACACTAGCATTTATCATTTTTGTCACTTGTCAGACATCAACAATTCAAGTGGTTGGCATTCAAAGTTGTGTCTAAGAAAGCAGTGTTCAACCATTGTGTTCCACTCTGGGTATGAAAAGGAATTTGCTAGCTAATAACAGAGTATCACAGTTTTGAATAATTTACTTTGTTGATAAATTACAATATATTTTAGAGTGTGCTTCCATAACAATGCTGTTTTTAGATTCTTGCATTCTGATCTGCTTTCTTGAGTGGGAGAGGAAGGAAGGGGCGGGTATACACTTGGCCCACGCGTATGCCCATGGGGCCATATTATTTGTGACTATCATGTAGGCTGTTTGCTGGGTCAGCGGAGAGACAGTGGTCGGCTCTGGGAGGTCACGCCTCCACTACTTGGCCTTCCTTCGGAGGCTCTTACTGGTTTCCACTGGAGAATAAGCTGTGGAAGCACTCTAGTTAATGGTAAGTAGAGAAGGAAGATGGCTGTGGAATGCAGAATATAGGAGTTTGTGTACTCTAATCCCACTGTAATAAACTGTGTTTCTGAAGTTGAGACTCAATTGAGATTACGATTATGCATGTAAATAGTGCATGAAATAACCAACATGACTATATTTAGATATTGGTTATGAATCGAGTCAGACATTTTCAGCAGGAGAAGAGAGCAAGACCTCCTGCAGAGAAAATCTCTGAATGCTGCTGTCCTTTAAACACACGTAGCCTTTCTGACAGGAGGCAAAGTGCCAGCCTCATTGCTTTGGTTTCAGCCACACTGAGCAGAAAGGGTCAGTCTGACTGCTTGCTGAGATTTTTCTCTTCTTTGCTCCATAGTTTCATTGATTTATTTTCTCTCCATCTGTGTTATATATATATATCATTTTTAAATTTTTTGTTTGAGACAGTCTTGTTCTGTCGCCCAGGCTGGAGTACAGTGGCATGATCTTGGCTCACTGCAGCCTCTGCCTCCTGGTTCAAGTGATTCTCGTGTCTCAGCTTCCTGAGTAGCTGGGACTACAGGCGCACACCACCATGCCTCACTAATTTTTGTATTTTTAGTAGAGACAGGGTTTCACCATGTTGGCCAGGTTGGTCTCAAACTCCTGGCGTGAAGTGATCTGCATGCCTGGACCTCTCAAAGTGCTGGGATTACAGGCGTGAGCCACTATGCCCAGCCCTGCTGAGTTTTAGAGCTACAGCTCCTCTGTAGTTGTTTTTTTTTTTTTTTTTTTTTGAGACAGTCTCACTTTGTCACTCAGGCTGGAGTGCATTGGCGCGATCTCGGCTCACTGCAAGCTCCGCCTCCTGGGTTCACGCCATTCTCCTGCCTTGGCCTCCCAAGTAGCTGGGACTACAGGCGCCCACCACCATGCCCAGCTAATTTTTTGTATTTTTAGTAGAGACAGGTTTTCACTGTGTTAGCCAGGATGGTCTCGATTTCCTGACCTCGTGATCTGCCCAGCTCGGCCTCCCAAAGTGCTGGGATTACAGGCGTGAGCCACTGCGCCCAGCCTGTAGTTGTTTTTTGTGGGGAATAGAACAAAATGGAACTAGAAAACTTGAGGCCTTTCAATCACAACCATGCTACATTTTATCTGAACACAGGAGAACCTGATAGTTCCCCCCAGCTCTCTACCTCATTGCTGCAAAGGTGGGATGGCTGCCCAGGGGTGTAGGAGCAGGAATCACAGCTTTAAAAAATATTTTATATTGATACACACTAATTGTACATGTTGATGAAGTACATTTGATATTTGATAGTTGCACACAATGTGTAATGATCAAATCAAGGTAATTGGGATATTCCTCACCTCAAACATTGATCATGTTTTTGTGTTGGGAACATTGCAAATCTTCTAGCTATTTTGCAATATACACTCAATTATTTACTACAGTCACCCTACTGTGCCATCAAACACTAGAACTTATTCCTTCTATCTACCTGTATGTTTGTACTCATTAATCAGTCTCTCTTCATCCCCACTCCCCACTACCCTTTCCAGCCTCTGGTAACCACCCTTCTACTCTCTACCGCCATTAGATCAACTGACAGCTTTTGTTTTTACTGCAAGGTCTTGTTCCACCTTCTTCCCACGGGTCCAGGCAGTTGTTCTTCTAGTCTACACTGTCTCTTGTAGCTTGTTTGTCATCTGGAGGGAATAGGTTGGAAATCTTGTATTTGGGTATCTATTCTCATACAGGGAGGAAATACAGGCAATTAGGTTAAAGTCATAGGCACCATGTAGAGGGCTGGGCTGGAAGGAAGTCAAGCTCTAAGTGTTGACTGTGTGGGAGGAGCTGTGAACATGAGGATGTGAACCTGAGTAAGACGGATCTCTACCCAAAGGGTAAGGAGTTTGGGGGACATGGTGAGTCCTGTGAAATAGGCCAGCAGAGTTTGCACAGAGTAGGGGCCCGGAGCCCACTGCTTGAGGTTGTGAGGGGCAGAGAAGGTCTCTAGACCAGAGACAATGGGGGTGCACTGCATGCATGCACAGGGAGGTAAGGTTGCACAGAACCCCGAGTCTGCAGCTCAGTAACTAAGGCCTCGTACGAAAACGGTGGCTTCATTCATTCCAAATCCCCTTGTGTGGTCTCTTCCTTGCCGTGACTGCCACTTGCTGTTGCTGCCTTGCCTGTTTCTTGTTCCCAACCTCATGACTTTTGCTTCCTTGTGCTTTCTAGGCCTTATGGCTTCTGCTCTCTGTCTCTTCTTTTGAAGTCCTTCTGCCTACTTGCTGCTGTCCTGGCTGCTTCAGCTGCTGCAGACTGTGACAGGCTCTCCCACAATCCAGCTTCTGAGAGAGGATCTGATTGGACTTGAATGGTTGCTGCACAGTTTAGAGTTTCCCTCCGAGGCAGAGTTTTCTTGTCCCGACTTGTCAGAGGCCACTGGCCCGCTCTTGGTTGATTCAGTTGCTGTACCTCAACATTGGATGAGTTGAGGGAGGCAAGACCCCTGTTAGCCGATGGTGACCTTTGAATAGGGAATTGCCTGCGGCGAGCCCTTTCCTCAGAGAAAGGCTGTGGGCCGTGGTCAAGGAGAGACGTTGGTCTGTGCTGCACAGGTGTGCCTACAAGTCTGAGCTGAACTGCTCCGCTCTATAAAGGGAAGAAGATTCAACTTTCTGGGGAAGTCCTGCAGAGGCAAAGAGGCTGGGTGCAGGGTTGGAGAAGGCAGGCAAAGAGACAGCCTCCTGATCATGGATAACTGGGAGGGCTTGGGGAATGTGCATTGTGGATTTTATTCCTTTCCTTCTTGCCTGCCTTTCTTTTTTTTCTTTCTTCTTTTCTTTCTTTTTCTTTCTTCTTTTCTTTCTTTTCTTTTTTTTTTTTTTTTTTTTTGAGATGGAGTCTCAGTCTGTCATCTAGGCTGGAGTTCAGTGGTATGATCACAGCTCACTGCAGCCTCAAACTCCCAAACTCAAGCAATCTTCCTGCCTCAACCTCCTGGGTAGCTGGGACTACAGATGAGCACCACCATGCTCACTAATTTTTAATTATTTTTTAGGACCTGATCTCACTATGTTGCCCAGACAGGCCTCAAACTCCTGGGCTCAAGTGATCCTCCCACCTCAGCTGAGACTACAGGCATGAGCCATGGTGCCCAGCCCATAGATTCTTGATTTCTGCATGATGTCAGTCTTTCCTCTTGTTCCCTTCTCTGTAGCACTTGTTAGTTATTTTGTGACAGTGACGTTGAATACAGTAGGGAGCCAATAGGACACAGCCCAGAAGCAGTATGTGAAGGTGTGGAATCCAGAAGCAGAGGGCATCAGGGGAGGGTAAGGCCCTTCAGTTGGCTGAAATTACAAGAAAGAATTTGGACGTTCAGAGGCCTAGAATTGGGTGTTTGTGTCAAGATCACCCACGTGTCCAACAGACAGGGAGATCCTGTTTACCTATAGGGGTCATAGACAACACAGTGTCCAGGTGTAGAGCAGGGTCAGACACACATGTGGATGAAATGAGAACTCGGGAGACCGGAGTGGAGGAGAGTAAGCTCGTGCCACCACAGTGGACAGTCAGGCAGAGCCCGAGGGCTCCAGAGCTGCTGAAGTGTGGAGTTGGGGACTTTCGTATAGGGATGGCTTTGCCAGTGGGTGCAAGGCATCCCTTAGGGACACTGCTATGAAAGGGAAAAGAGAAGCAGGAATGATGGAGAGAGAACCAGGCACCCAATTTTGACACACCCCAGTTCTCCCTAATGGAGCTGGCTGGAAGGTGTGACAAAATGCCTAAGAAATGCTCTCCAAACCCACTCTCCTGCCTTTCTCTCTTTTCCAGATCAGTGTCTCCACTTCCCTGTTCCCTTGGGCCCTCTGTGAAAGGTAGACTGATCCTCGGTGAAGGCTTTGTTAAACCCAGCCTCAATGCATGCCCTGAAAATGAATGAACGAACACTAAGGAAGGAGGCTGCAGAGGGGATTTTTCGAGACTGCATCAGTGTTGGTCACCTGCCTCCTTTTGGCTATAATAGGAGTCATGCAGCTTAAAAACCCTGACTGCTGATTTGAAAATTTACCTCATGCAGTGATTGATAATAGAAGCTTTCAGAAATGAATAAAAAAAGAGGGGGAGGGGATGGCAAGTGAGTGCTGGGGAAACATATGTGGATAAATGTTCAGATGTTGCAAACGAGGATGATTAAAACTTGAACCATTCATCTTCACCCAGTGGTGTTCGGATGTCCAAATTTGCCATGTCTGTGTTATAGGTAGGGAAACAGAGGCACAGGGAAGGGAAAGAGGCTGGCAAGCTCTCAAGTTCATCTTGGTATCATTTTTTAGGAGGGGTACAATGACCAGGTCACCTCTGGTGGCTTATTTTGAACCAACCATTTGCAGAAAAGTGAAGCCCGATCCTTCTCATGCGTTGTCTTCTACAATTGCAGTAGCCATCTGACAGATAATAGAATAATAGGAAGATGTTGCCTTGGACAATGGGCCAGCCAAAGAGCTGAATGAGAGACACTAAAATAAATAAATAAATATTCTAAAAAAGGCATTTTGACAGAAAAATTCTCCAAAGAGGGGAGGCATTCTCTTGTCTTTTCCTATCCACCTTTGCAGCAGGGTATCTTTTCCCCCTCACTTGGAGTCTTTCATCAGCTTTGGGCCCTTTCCTAGCTCCTCTGCTCTTTTAGAGACTTTTTTTTCAGGGGCCATGTAGTGGTTTAGATTTTAATGGAAGTATGTTAGGTGGGGCCTGGCTTCCATTATGCTGAGCTCAGGCCTAGTGATGTGATCTGTCCTCTTCACTGTTGTCAGGGAAGAAAAGAAGGAAGGGAGGAAGAAAAGGAAGAGAGGAAGGAAGGAAGGAAGGAGGGGAGGAAGGAAGGAAGGAAGGAAAGAAGGAAGGAAGGGAGGGAGGAAGGGAGGGAGTTAAATTAAGTTTAGCCCTAAAGCTATCTCCCTACATATTTTAAGTTCAGCCTAAAGGTTTCTCTGTACACAGTAAATGGTCACCCACCTGGACATGTAAACAGACTGTAATCTATTATTGTGCCAATCACCAAATTTTGGCCAATCACAGGGGGCCAACTGTTCAAGCCCTGTTCAAGTAAGGCAAACACCAGATTGTGACCAATCCAGCTGTTTCTGTACCTCACTTCTGTTTCCTGTCCATCACTCTCCTTTTACTGTCCATGAGTCTTCCACCATGTGGCTATGCTGGAGCCCCTCTCAACCTATTCTGGTTCAAGGGCTGCCTGATCCACGAATCATTATTTGCTCAATTAAACTCGGTTAAATTTTATTTGTCTAAGGTGTATCTTTTAACAGAGGGAGAGAAGAAGGAACTTATAGCAACTATCACGATGACAGTCGTATCATGCGTTCTTAGAAAAACAACCCTGAGGGTCGGCAATGGCTTTAGTATACTGAAGGGAATTTATAGTCGAAAACAATTAGTTTTAAAATGCAGCTGCACAGTCAAAACACTTGAAGAACTTAAAAACAATACTGGTGCCTGAGCCGCATTCCCAGAGAGCCTGGGGTGGAGACTGGACATCAGCACTTTTAAAGTCTCCCCTGGAGGCTGCAAAGCGCAGCCAGGGTTGAGAATCACTGTTCTAGATGGATCCCTCCTCGCATCCAGGAACAGCTGTTTGGAATAGAATCTTTGGATGGTGGAGTTTTTCACATGGTGAAAGGGTTGGGAACTTGTGTGGGAGAAGGCTCTGGAAGCAGAAGAACAATGGGAAGAGCTTTGATATCATCCAAGGTGGTCGTGGAGAGACTTGGCTGAAAGGTCCTTCACACCAACCTGGGGATGGGGAGATTTGATTTCATACTCGGGGTTCAGGAAGCAGAGAATTTTCTGCTCTCTACAGTTGAGAGCAGCCTGGGAGGACATCCAGCCTCTTCTACTCCCCTGCTGTGTTTTCTAGGCTTTGTAATCTGCCGTTTGGTTTCCTGGAGTGACCTACCGCCTAGGAAGGGAGCGCCCTGGACAGGCAGCTGGTCTCAGTTCTCCGGCCAGGAATACAGGAGAACCTTACATAACCCTGCAATTGAGCTCTTGGAAAGGAATGGCTGCCTGATGCAAAAATGCTTAATGAGAGGTGAACAATTAATGGAGGATGGGGCTCTGTTCCCAGGCCAACTAGGAGTGAGTGGTGACGGGTGCACAGGGTCTCGGAGTCACCCTGGGGCTGTGCTCATTCCTGACTCATCAGCAGCTCACTCACGACAGGCACATGCTGATGTCTCCATAGTTTGTCCCCAGGCAAGCATTCTGTTTCTATCTTGGTCTTGCCCTGCACACTCAGTTTTGGTATTTTAAAGGATTTGCTAATAATGTTCCTTTAGAATCGTTTTGTGGATCTGTCTTTCCCTTCCTTCTTTCCTTTGTGAGGGTTGTCTGGCATCTTTTTTTTACTCCCTGGCTGGTTATTCACAAACCAGAGGAACAGTCCTCATGTACATCAAACTTACCTCTCAACTCTCCAGGTGCTAAACCTTCTCATGGAGAAGAACAAACTTGACTGCTAGCCCATTCTGCAGCAGAATTCTGAGAGCTAGGGCAGGCTCTGTTACAGGTCAGGAGAATTGGCCTGATTAGAAACCATTTGAGGTAGGGAATGGGGGCTCACACCTGAATCCCAGCACTTTGGGACACTGAGGCCAGGAGTTGGAGACCAGCCTGGTCAATACATGAGACCCTGTCTCTACAAAAAAAAAAAAAAAAAAAAAAAAAAAAAAAATTTTTAGTACTCCGAATAAATGTATCTGTAAAAGGAAAGCCACAGTAATTCAGAGTCATGGTTTATATACCTATTTCACATAAGATGCCACTGTATCTTCTCCTACAATTAATAAGTTGTCTTTTTAGTACAATTCAGGTCTCTTTGCTTTTGGGTCTTAGAAGCCTAATTTTCTAGGCTCTGGCTATCTTTGACTACTAATAATATCATAAAACTATGATAATGATAATAACTCTTATTTATAAGAGTTGATATCAGGCACTGGTGTAAGGGCTTTCCTTACGTTACTGAATCTAATCCGTACATAAGATCAGTGTAGTCAGCATGATTAGTATCATCTCTAGGTTACACATGAGGGAATCAGGGCTTAGAACATCTGAGAAAATCCAGTGACGATAGAGTTTGAATTCAAATTGACATCATTCTGATTCCAGAGCTGATTCTTAGCCATGTCATATTCTAAGTGACGTTGAGATGACACGCATGATCTCATTCAATCATGTGGCTTTAAAATCCATCTATATGATGGGTGAGCCTCAAATTTATATCTCTAACTTAAACCCTCCCCAGGCTTGGGGATGCAACTGCCTGCTGTCATTGTCAGTCCAATTTCTTTCTTTCTTTTTTTTGAGATGGAGTCCCACTCTGTCACCCAGGCTGGAGTGTAGTGGCACGATCTTGGCTCACTGCAACCTCTGCCTCCTGGGCTCAAGCAATTCTTCCACCTCAGCCTCCTGAGTAGCTGGGACTACAGGTGTCTGCCACACCCAGATAATTTTTGTATTTTTAATAGAGGTGGGGTTTCACCATGTTGGCCAGGCTGGACTCAAACTCCTGACTTCAGGTGACCCACCCGCCTCAGCCTCCCAAAGTGCTGGGATTACAGGCGCCCAGCCCCTCAGTTGAATTTCTAACAGGCACCTCACACCTAAGCTGACCTAACAAGCTTGTTCTTGCCCCCTTGCTCTCCCTGCTCCCTCAGTAAATTTGTCTCCATTCAGTTACTCAGGCCTCGATGAAGGAGTCACCCTTGACTCCTCTCTTTCACAGCTCACATGGACACCATCAGCAAATCCAGTGGGATGCCTGTATTCAGAATCCATCCACTCCTTCCCTCCTCCACTGTTGCTGCTCCTCTACTGTCTGTTTTCAACACAGATGTCAGAGTGAGTCAGCTTTTGTCACTTCCTTGCTCAAAATCTTATCTCATTCAGAGAGTTCCAGTTAGTAAGTTATCATCTTTCAGCTCCAAAGCCTTCCTTCAATACTTGATTCTATGCTGGGCCCCTGAACACTGCATTTCTCCTTTGTTGGGCTCCTTGTTGCACTCAGCCAGTAGGGGTTGCTAGAGAGGCTCCTACTCTTTCCCATGGGTATCCTGTCTGCCTGTGGCTCCTGTGTGCAGCACCCCAGTACTGCTGCTTCATCTTGGCAGCAGCAGTTTCTTCCTGTAGCAGCTGTTCAATCTACGTTGCAATTTTTCCTACACTCAAGAACCAGACTCATTGTGCCTTTTTAGGGCCACAGCACTGACTGCCATTGCCCCATCTTTGAGGTTTGGGTTCTAGCCCCATGGGACTGTTTTCTAAGCTTCTAAATTTTAATTATCCGACAGCCCCCTTTTTCTTCTGCCAGCCCCAGGGGTGGAGCTTCCTGAAGTTGTTATACGAAAGACACCTTAGAGTTGTCTTTTTACTCTTTCAGTTACCTGGTTAAGACTTTATTCCTAGAAAATTATTCTTTATATTAAATTAGCCGTGTTAAAATAACTGGTGTGGCTTCTGTCTCCTGGTTAGGCCCTGACTGATGTGCTGAGTTAAAGGTGAAGTCCTTAAAATGGTTTGCAAGGTTGCAAGCGATCTGGCTTCCGGCCACCTCTCCTGTCTTAGCTCCTTCCACTGTCACCGTCATTCCTCGCTCCTTTTGGCCCCTTGCTGTTCTGTAAACACACCAATCCCTCTCCTGCCTCACAGTCTTGGCCCTTTCTGATCCCTTTGCCTGAAAAACCCTGCCCTGCAATTCTACATGGCCTCTCTTTCCCCTGCTTGGGTCTTCCTGAGATGTTACCTCTTCAGTGAGACCTTCCCTGACCGCACCACATAATCCACATCCCCCACTCCCCCCACCCCTGCCTGGATGATTTCTGTCCTTCTTAATCTGCCTTGCTTTTTCCATAGCACCTATCACCATCTGATAGTCTGTTTATTCATACTTGATTATTTGTTAATTCCTGTGTCCCCCTAACTAGCAAATAAACACCCCAACAAGGCAGAACTTTTCCTACTTTAGTGATTGCTACATCCCAGACTTTATAACAGTGTCTGGCGCATATAAATGCTTGAAAAGTATTTGTTGAGTGAATAGTAAAATTGAAGTTCTGGACTGTCAGGATTAAGACTGTCCTAGGCCCGGTGCTAGAGGGAGAATCCTAAAGAGGACGCTGGCCTTAGAGGAAAATGGTAATCATGCTTCCCACACCACATGTCAGGGAGAGCAGATGGCAGTGTCAGCTCACAGTTCGCATGAGTTTGGGGTGTACTTTTGAAGACTGAGTAATGTCTTTTCTCTCCCTTCTCCAAATTGCTATTGTTAGACCTGAAAAAGCCTGTAATAAAATTTGGAAGCTACTGAGTTTATGACATCTCAACTTTACCCTCCATTTCCACCCCAAATGGCTTTTGAACTGACACTGAATTGCTGCCTTATTAAATACCATCCTGAGAACTTTACAGAACATTTTAAGTGATGCCGAGCTCCCATGAGCTTCAATCATAATGGAAGAGCCTGGGACCGTTGGTTGTCAGCTTTTTCTTGTCATCTACATGGGGACTGTCTGTGAGGGTGTGTCTGCTGGGTGAAGTGCCACACCTCGCTTCCGAGACGGGGCCTAGCTCGCTAATCCAAGAGGGCTAGCAACATTTGCAAACCAGGAAGAGGCAAGAGAGGACTTTCTTAACAGTAGCAGTTACTGGAGACCTAACTTCTGAGGGTTGCAGGTTGAATTGTCCCTAATTCCTGGGGATGACAGGTTCCACTCTGCCCTGCCAGATTATGGGGACGCTCCCTGAATTACAGTGGCAGCTGTTGGGTTCCACTGCTGCGACTCATCTCTTCAGTCTTGTTGGCCTTGGATCTCAGCCACCCGAGTTTCAGAAGGTGGTAAGCTGGCCAGTGTTCTTGGCCCCAGAACACGGTTGTGATTGGTGCCATGTTAAATGCGAGTAGCAATTATGGCTGCCGATTTGAAAGGAGGCTGAACACGCTGGCTTTCATCGGGTCACCTTTGCTTGGCCACATGAGACTTTCCACTTAGGAAAATGAGGGCTGAATTCTTGATCCAGACAGGCTCTTTCAAGGTGTTGCGTTTCTGCTCTCAGATAAGACAACCCTGTGAAGTTGGGTGCTTTCTGCACTGTCACTGAACTTGGTGCCCTGTGAAAGGAGATTCTCTCTCTTTTTTTTTTTTTGAGATGGAGTCTTGCTCTGTTGCCCAGGCTGGAGTGCAGTGACGCGATCTCGGCTCATGCAACCTCTGCCTCCCAGGTTCAAGTGATTCTCCTGCCTCAGCCTCCCGAGTAGCTGGGGCTACAGGCATGTGCCACCATGCCTGGCTAATTTTTTGTATTTTTAGTAGAGACAGGGTTTCACTATGTTGGCCAGGCTGGTCTCGAACTCCTGACCTCATGATCCGCCCGCCTCAGCCACGTAAAGTGCTGGGATTACAGGTGTGAGCCACCATGCCCGGCTGAAAGGAGATTCTTAAATACACAAAATCCTTCACTCCAAGGGTTTAGATTTTTTGCTCAGTTTTAGCTGCAGACTTTGCTCAGTTTAGAGCTACTAGGGCTTTAGTTTACTGTGCCATATTTGAAACTAAAAGTCTGAATTATGCTTTATTTTTTGCATGTGTTATAGATAGCACGTAATGAATAAGCACCCTCAGAATACCTAGCACCATGTTAGGGAAACACAACGCTGAGGCCTTGGTCGTTGTCCTCAGGAAACTCTCACTGTATTTACGGTCCAAAAGGAGGTCCAATAAAACAAGACTATATATAAGCATTAAAATATCTATAGAAAGTCAGAGGAGAAACAGGTAGTTGTGGATCTGTGTTTGTTGGAGAAGGCTTGATTGGAATGTGAGGTGGCCTTGAGGAAAGAGTGCAGATTTCGATTAATTGGGAGAAGGAGAAAGGCCGGTAAGGCCAGGGGGGCTTGAACAAGGTTTGGTGGCAAGAATCTGTGTAGTATCCATGGTGCTCTGCAAGTGGATGAGCCCTCTCCAAGGGAATCATTAGGAGGGAGATGAGCAGATGGGAAGGACAAAGCATTGGAGGACACCCAATTGGGTTGGGTAGACAGGATATGTGCATAGAAAGAGATGAGCCAGACTGTTGTTTGTGCAATTTAAAATATGAAGAGAAGAAAAGGGAAAAAAAAAAGATAAGGGATATTTGGCAATGTACCTTCAAAGCCAAATGAAGGTTGCCAATAAGAAGTGCTTCAGGACCTCAGCAGAGGAAGGAAACACCCAGGGCAGGATTTGTAGAGGATTGTTGAGGGGGAATAGGTCTTAAGACAAGGGAAAGGAAGGGGGAGAGGCAGGAGAAAGGGATGCATGCAGATAAAGGGGGCCTCAGAGCAAAGTTGACTCTAGAAGGGCTCTGGCTATTCGGTGAAGGAGGAGAAGGGTATTATTCAACCAGGAATGGGGCTGAAGACAAGGTGAGAAGGTCTTTAACTGTTGTTCTGGGGAAGGAGTCAGGGAGTGGATGAAGGACAAATACCAGGTTACTAAGTACCTGTCAGGGCCAAGCTGTATTTGGATGGCAGAAGCCACTGGTGGGCCAGGTCTAGGGGTCACAAGCCCTTCTCTAGGTGTGTTTGTAATTCAAGCAGCCAGGATTGGGTGTAGGTGGGGCTGGCTCAAAGAGGGCCTGGGAAGATGAAGTCTTGGTTGCTGATGAAGGCAGCATTTATACAGCTGAATACAAGGTCTGCCAGACTTCAGAGAGGATTCTTGGGAAATTGGAGGAGACCTGCTGTGTTAGGTGTGGAGGTGGAGCTGGTCTCATGCTGATGAAGTCCTGGGAAGACCTTGATTGGCCAACACAGAAATGAGCTGAGGAAAAGAAATAAGGGAAGTTGGAAGGAGAGTATTTGTGAAGAAAGCAGAATATTAAGTATTTTCTTTGATACTTCTTTATATACAGGAAGCTAGGTTGTCAGCAGTAGCAAGAATAACATGACAATGATGAGATAGCTAACTTAGAAGATCTTGGAACAAACCATTTTCCAAATACCTCTGGGTTTTCTTTGTTCTCTATCCAAACTCATTTTATTAAACACCCTTTGTTAATATTCTGATAGATTTTATAGAGGTCAAAAGAGCAGGGATTAGGCTTCGTTTGGAAACTCAGCTCCCTCATTTCCTAACTCATTAAATGAGTCCAAGTAGGAAACAAGTGCAGATATATTTGGAAGATATTAAAGAGACCTTGGGCAAATTACCTAATCTTTCACCCTTGGTTTTCTCATATGATGACAGTGCCTTTCTGATGGAGCCGTTATGAAGGTAAACATTAGGTTCCAACGCATGGGAACTACAGTTGTGTTAAAATGAGAATTTCCCAGGAGTTCGTGTGTTTCATTGTGAGGTGCTATTCAGCTCTGTCTATTTCCCTCACATCTGTCCTTTCTCTTTCTCATCCCCCACTCACTTAGTAAACATGTCTGCTTGGACCAATGATTGGGAGTATGGCGTGCTGAGCCCTGGTAACGGGAAGTAAGCCAGCATTTTCAACAAGTTGCTAATTATACCACTTTTAAACACAATAAGAGAAGAAGGAATGAACCCCATGAGCTGGGGCCACTTGGCAAGTCCCGATGGTCTTCTTAGGCCAGTCAGGATGTTTCTTAGACTCACATCAGCCTTGATGACGATCTCCTCCCACATCGACTGAGTCAGGGGTCGCTGTGTGCTGAGTAATGCAGTCCTTTGCTGGGCGGGAAGTGGGCAGCACTCTGAAGGGACATGAGAGTGGATGACGGTGAAGCTGTGGGAAACTGCGGGGGAGCTGCACACGCCTGATGCCTGTGTCAGAGCCACGCAGTCTCTGAGTCGTGTTCCCAAGCACAACTCACATCTGTGAAGTACATCAGGGAAAATTAAATAAGTCCAAGTAGGAAACAAGTTCAGATATATTTGGAAGATATTAAAAAAAGGAAAAAAAAAATCTCCAAAAGGCCTGATCTCACCTTTCACTTTTTATAGACAACATTTTCCTTCTCTGGTTACATCTTTTCTTGAGGTGTATTAGCAACACTTTGTTCATTTGACAGCCATGATATTTCTTCTTTAGTATTGTATGTAGGGTGAAGTTCAAGTTCCTAGTTGCTCGACAAGTTCCAGTTCCTTGGCATAGGGCATAGAGGTCTGGCCAGGACTTTGTTTTCTCTAATTCAATTTGTCTAAAACACAAGAAAAGACTTTGTGGGCTGAGGCCGAGAAGTCGTGCTTCATATTTGCTTGAATCTTTTGGCCTTACTTCACTGGCAGAGTCTGTGAAAGAACACAGGTTTACTTAAAAAATAATCTTAACTTAAGCCTTTCCATTGTGTGAATTTGACAAAGAAACTCGCCTTATCTGGGTTGTCCCCCATTTCTTTGCTTCTATGAGGAACCCTGGAGACTTCCTGACTTTAAAAAGCAACCAAAAATGAATGTTAAGTTTTGGCATGTAAAAGTTCTTTGGTATACATTTTGCCAGACACGGATGTTGCAAAACTGTTTACTGAGGTATAATTTTGGTGCTTCTATGTAGGAAGGGGAGGAAAAGGGTTATTTATTAAAAGTTCTATATAGGCATCTCTTGCTATTTGACCTCTTGCCATCCAAAGTCTTTCCCTCAGAACTCAGGAGGCAAGTGGATTCAGATAAACTCAGCACTTTCTGAAATTTCAATTTTTGTTTTCTGAAACTCAGGAGCCAAATAGATTTTTTCCTCTCCAAACCCATTACCCAAACACTCACCATCAGAACTTAGGAATCAACTAAGTTTGGATAACAAGACATACTTTTCCCTTCTTCCTGTTTATTAGAACCCACTCATTGCTTGTAGAATATTAGGAAAAGTACAGAAAAGAGTAAAGGTAACAAAAATGACTCATTGTCAGAGGTATAATTCCAAACACTAATTTTCTGGTAATGGTTTATGTCAGGGAGTGAGGAATATACTCCCTTTGTCTCTTCCACATCCTCTTCACCCTCCCCAACTCAGAAACATTCAGAATCCATGGAAATTTCAAAAAAGTAGTTGGTCAGTAGCCATGAATGTTGGTTGGGTTGCCTGTTTCTGTCTGGCCAGCATGTACTGTCTGCATTGAGGGCTTTGTGTTGCCAGCCTTCTGCACTTGAATTTGGATTCGGCCACCAAGCCTTCTCTTGGTGGCCAGCTTCCTGCAGGTCTTCCCAGGCACTGGGGGATAGTCTGCTAGCATGGTTTTTCAGGGTGACATTTGAAGCCACAGGATCTGTGAAAATGTTGTGATCGATCGTTGACAGTGTCTCATCTCCCTACTGATAGACAAGGATAAAAATGCCTGGTTGAAATACTGCTTGAAAATCTAAGCATAAGGAAGGTCAGAAATGAAAATGATGTAGAACTGATGGCACACGTTGACTTAAAAAAAAAAAACACGCATTTTCCTTCAAGTTCTCAAAAAATAAGCACCACTGCTATCTGGTGTCCGACTGAGTGTGGGAGGAAAACAAAGGCAGATGCAGTTGATTAAGTCCAAGGCTTCTTTATGCAACACTGCCATGGCCAGTTTCCCTACTGCACTTATTTTCTCTAAATAAGCTTCCTCAGTTTCTTCTTCACTGCTTCTTGGGGATGCAGCCACAAGGAAAGAGGCAGGGAATGGAGACTCCAGTCAAATGTGAGGTAATGTAGCTGGGGTGCAAAGGCAGCTCTCAATCCAATATGTCTGCCTGCTTCCTGCTTCTGACCACAAATGTTCATCCCGGCTATGATTCTCTCCAAAGCAGCTCTGTTTGCAAACATTTCTCTCATCTGGCATTTTGCAAATGGCATCAATTCTGACAGTTGCTTCGTTCCTGGCTAAGGCTCAGGTCATCATTTGGTATCTAGAAGGGAATTCGAAAACGTTGCCTCTTCAGAGCTGATGAACCTTCTGGGCAAGGAGGGCAGATAGCGCCCACATGTGAAGAAGAGGCAGCTCCCTCCAGTCAGATGTGGCTCTGCTCAAGGCCGAAAGAGGACTTGGCTTCAGATCCTACTTGTGCCCTTTTGCAGTTTATGGACTGCACAGTCATACAGGGCAGACCAGTTAGGGTAACTGAGCACTTGAAAGAAGACATTCTGGATGAAATTCTGGTGGTGCATAGACACCTATCTTGCATGGAGCTCTGAGCACCCTGCTGCACTCTCATGATTCCTCTGTACTCAGAGCAGAATGTTGGCATCATAGACAAGCAAACAGAAGCCCAACGAGAGAAATTACTTACCTGGAAGACCATGTACATCAGCGGCCCTGCCAAGACCAGATCCCTGGTCCTTTAACTGTTCTATAAATCGCCAGTAGAACTTGACTGAAATTTAATTTAGTTTTCAACCCTTGGCAAACCGGATACCGCGTGTTTGTGTAGGCTCATGCCATTTAAAAGGTTCTTGGAGTTTAGGTCTTGCATGTAATTTGCTACATTAGCTCTGGGCAAAAATATTTGCTTTTTGGTCCTTTGTGGTTTAAGTTCCTTCTCAGCATTGACCTGGCATGTTAGAGAGAGCTGCACTGTGGAACGCAGCAGGGGGTGGAGAGTTTAGGGAGAGTGAGTGCAGTAATGCTTATTAGTGATGGCAGCTTTTCAGACTGTGGGAGCTCACATGAGATTTTCCCAGTTAGGTTGTTTGTTTATGTATTTGGATTATGACACAAGTCAGATTAGAAAGCTGATGCAGATCAAACGAAGCCTTTTAGATTTGGATTAAGCTTGGGAAATTTTCTCTCCTAAGATATTAGATTAAGAGTATCATGATGATTTTGTCATTGTTGTTCAAAGTGACAGTCATACTATTGTAATTGTTCCAACACCTCCAAGTTTGGCCGTCTTTGGCGTGAATAGACCCAGGATGGGTTATTTCAATCAAAAATTCGGGGGCTGGGCATGGTGTCTCACACCTGTAATCCCAGCACTTTGGGAGGCCGAGGCAGGCAGACCACGGTTTGAGACCAGCCTGACCAACATGGTGAAACCCTGTCTCTCTTAAAAACACAAAAATTAGCTAGGTGTGGTGGCGCGTGTCTGTAATCCCAGCTACTAGGGAGGCTGAGGCAGGAGAACTGCTTGAGCTCGGGAGGCAGAGGTTGCAGTGAGCCAAGATCACACCACGGCACTCCAGCCTGGGCAGTGGAGCAAGACTCCATCTTGAAAGAGTGGCTGTCTTCTTGGATTCTCTAGGTTAATCATTTCAACATTAGAGAATGGATCGCCTACTAATTATATCGAATCACTATATATTCTTTTGGGATGATAAATAAGAGGCAGATATTATGCTCCCATTTTACAAGAGAGACGACTGAGGCACAGGAAAAGGAAGTAACTGGTTGAGTCATATGACAAATCTCGAAGCAGTACCATTCTGGGGATAGCCTATGAGGATAAATTCTGCACCTATACTAATTTTCAGCAGTGTACTCTCTCTCTCTCTCTCTTGCTCTCTCTTTCTCTCTCGCTCTTTAATACTAAGGCTAATACTTTTGTCTTGGAAGACTGTGAAGCTCTTTTTTCCCTGTCCTGCTCCATTGCCAGCCTCTTAGTTGAATTTTCAATCCTAGTGTACATGCACTGGAATGACACTTTATGGGAGGTTTAGTTTCTAAAGTCAGCATGGAAGGTAAGAATCTATTATATTTTTAAAAATTCACTCTTAAAAAGTGAATTCACTTTTTAAGTGAATCTATTTTTAAGAATCTATTATATTTTTAAAAATTCACTCTTAAAAAGCTGCCCATTTTGTGCAGCTTGCATAGTTTACTCTATTGTTATACACAAAAACATACCATAGTTAAGACTATGTAAGGAGTATGTAATTTTCCAGTGCCATATCCTTAAACATTAGTATCTCGGCAAGAGGCTCTGAGAGATAAGCAGGAACAAAAATTGATTCAGGGCAGAATAGATTCACATCTCACATCTCCTGCTCACTCCGGTACATTTGCTCACTAAGTGAAATGGTTGGTAGAATCGCCACGTAACTGGAAAATTTCTTCCCTCTCCTCTCTCTCCTTACACTGACCCTGTGTGCTTCTCTCTCTCTATTTTTCTCTCTGTAATAGACGTACTTAAATTTGTGTAAGTTAAATATGCATGTGGTGTCGTTTTACTGTATGTTTCACAAATGACAGCTGTAAGTCAATGAATATCATTGTGAAATATAAGAAAAGGAAAAGAAAAAAGGAAGCTTGTTTTTCAGCACTCAGCAGGAAAACACACTGTTGGACTTTATGTTTCTTTTGGAATATGGGTTTACTGTTAAAGCTAAATTAATAGTTTACATGGTAAGCCAATAAGATCAATGTCCTTTTGGAAAAACAAGGCTAATATTCTAGTCTGGGATGCACTAAGCCGGAAAAGCATGAGTTACAAGTAAGTTTAACACATTAAAAAGCATCTTGGGGAGAATTCTTGAATTTACACAACTAAGTATATATAACAGAGTCTTTACATCTAAACCCCATTTTATCAGGCCAGGCCATTTGTCAGCACATCTCTTCTTAGTTACCCCCAAGGCATCCATACTTTACAGCAAGGAGTGATGGCAACAGCTGGGGGCGGGAACTTCAAAGAAGTACCAGACCCGTAGGCCCCATGTGGTGGCTCACGCCTGTAATCCCAGCACTTTGGGAGGCCGAGGCAGGTGGATCACTTGAGGTCAGGAGTTCGAGACCAGCTTGGCCAACGTGGTGAAACCCCATCTCTACTGAAAATACAAAAATTAGCCTGGCGTGGTGGCACATGTCTATAATCCCAGCTACTTGGGAGGCTGAGGCAGGAGAATTGCTGGAACCTGGGAGGCGGAGGTTGTGGTGAGGCAAGATTGCCCCAATGCACTCCAGCTGGGGTGTCAAAGTGAGACTTTGTCTCAAAAAAAAAAAAAAATCCCATTCTGGAAAAAAATCCTCTCTGAAGCTACCATCAACACCATCTGGGTTGGTTAGTTGTTTATTTTCTCTCTGAGCTTTTTCTGATTTCCCCTGCTATTTTTTACTTCATGATGCTAACCCCTATAGACCCTATTCCCAAACGATCTTGCCAGGGGTTTTACAGCTGGGTTTGGCCAAGAGAGTCATAGGAAGGTAGGAGAATGGGAGAAGCCAAGGTATTTATCCCTCTTGTTTCCTGCTTGGGAGAGTGTATTTGTGGGTAGCTGAGTCTCATCTGTTCTAGCTGTTATGGAACAATCCCTCCTGCTGGACCAGCCCGGATGTGGGCATGGGTAACATCACCTCCTTCCTTTATTTCCTCAGTCCTAGAAGGGGTTGTGACTTTTTGACATTGTCAATCTATGGGCTGCCTTACAATCTCATTTGGGTTTTGTGTGTGTTTAAAAAATTAAAATTGACAATAAAAATCATATGTATTTATGGCATACAACATAATGTTTTAGTATTTGTATGCATTGTGGAATGGCTAAATCAAGCTAATTAACATATGCATTACCTCACACACTTATCTTTTTTTGATACCTTTGCTGCAAGAGCCCCATATTAAATTTTCTTGGTTGAGCTAGCTGATGTGGACTATGTTTTGTTGTTGTTGCTGTTTGTCATGTTCCAGCCTCCATTGTGGATCTTGTTCTTGGCCTGATGGGTTTTTCCCTAGGTCTGACCTCACATTTAACCAACCCTTTGCTCCTCATGTACATCCTTCTATTGTTTCCTGGACTCAACCTTGATGCTTGGATCCCACTTGTTCTCTCAGTGGCTTTGATGCTTCAGCTCCCTCCTGCAAACTTTTGTCTCTGTGCGTGTGTGCGAGTCCATTTTGCGTCACTATAAAGGAATACCTGAAACTGAGTAGCTTATAAATAAAAGAGGTTTAATTGGCTCATGGTTCTGCAAACTGTACTGGAAGCATTGTGCTGGCATCTGCTTGACTTCTAGTGAGGCTTCAGGAGGCTTTCAATCATGGTGGAAGGTAAAAAGGAGCAGGTGTGTCATGTGATGGGAGTGGGAGCAAGAGAGAGAGAGGGGAGGTGCCACACTCTTTTAAATAATCAATTCTCATGTGAACTCAGAGCGAGAACTCACTCATCACCAAGGGTATAGCACTAAGCCATTCATAAGCAATCCGCCCCCATGATTCAATACCTCCCACTAGGCCCTACCTCCCACATTGGAGGTCACATTTCAACTTGAGATTTGGAGGGGACAAACATCCAAACCATATCAGGGAGTAAGAAATTGTCTGACATATGAGATACTGGATTTTACAAACACAAGAGTCCTTAGATATTTGACCCAACTTCCTATTTTCATCCATGAGGTTGCTGCTGCTTAGAATGGGTAATGACTTCCTCAAGATTGCCAAGTTAATGGCAGGGAGGGAAAAGGAAAGGAAGTTTCATGTCTAGGTAAACGTCATATCACTTTATTTACTGTAACATGTGACAGGGATTGGGGACACGAAGATTGAGATATTGATTACCCTATGACCCTCCTCATTGCCTGTCCTTTGCCTTTGAGCAAACGTTTTGCACTGAGTGGACAGAAATATTAATTCATTCAACTCATATTTATTGATTGTCACAAAGGGCAAGGCTCTATGCTGAACACTTTGGAAAGGACACATATGAATAGAAAATGATCCACATCCTCAGGAAACTCTCTAGAAAGGAGTACAGCCTATAGGCCAGTGATTCATATGTATGTTGCATATGTTACATACAAAAGAGAAAACAATAAGCTCCACAGAAAGTAAGCAAATAAAGTGTTATTTGCATGTGGAGGAGAAAGTTGCTTCTGGCTTGGCAGTATTAGAGAAGACATAATAGAGCAGGTAGTATTTAAAATGGACAGGGGCTGGGAACGCTGGCTCACTTCTGTAATTCTAGCACTTTAGGAGGCTGAGGCAGGTGGATTGCCTGAGCTTAGGAGTTCGAGACCACCCTGGGCAACATGGTGAAACCCCATCTCTACAAAAATACAAAAATTAACCAGGCATGGTGGCATATGCCTGTAGTCCCAGTTACTTGGGAGGCTGAAGTGGGAGAATTGCTTGAACCCGGGAGGCAGAGGTTGCAGTGAGCCGAGAGGACAGGGCTGGGTACAGTGGCTCTGGTGTGTAATCTCAGCACTTTGGGAGGCTGAGGCAGGAGGATTACTTGGGTCCAGGAGTTCAAGACCAGCCTGGGGAACATAGTGAGACATCGACTCTACAAAAAATAAACCAAATTAGCTGGGTGTGGTGGCGTGTGCCTGTATCCCCATTTACTTGGGAGGCAGAGGTGGGATGATAGCTTGAGCTCAGGAAGTCAAGGCTGCAGTGAACCAAGATCGTGCCACTGCATTCCAGCCTGGGTGACAGAGCAAGACCCTGTCTAAATAAATAAATAAATAGATAAATAAATAAATAAGATGGACAGGAAAGCACAAATAGTATTTGACCATGTATAGCTGAGAGAAAGGTGTTCAGGATGAGTGATCGAAAGCAGGTAAGGGGACAGTGAGGGCTTCAATGGAGCTGGAAAGCTGACTACCTGAAGGTGAATGACAATAATAATAATAATAATAATAGCAATAGCAATCATAGCTGACATTTAGTGGGCTCCTATCACATACCTGAGCACTGTGCCAAGTGCTTTACATGCTTTGTTTTGGTCTATAGATGGGTATTGTTATTTCTATTTTGCAAATGAGGAAACTGAAGTTCAGAAAGATTATAACTTTCCAAAGTCATCCAGCTAGCAAATGGTAGAGCAGATTCCACACAGGTCTGCTTGATTCTAGATATACTGTTAACTGCTAAGCCAAATGGATGGGTTATCAAGAAAGGCAAGGGATTTATATATAGATCTAAAGGCATGAATAGCAAATGTAGTGTTGAGTTGTTTTTTTGTTTGTTTGTTTTTGAGATGGAGTCTCGCTCTGTTGCCCAGGCTGGAGTGCAGTGGTGTGATCTCAGCTCACTGCGACCTGCGCCTCCCAGGTTCAAGAGATTCTCATGCCTTGGCCTCCCCTAGTAGCTAGGACTACAGGCGCACACCACCATGCCCAGCTAATTTTTGTATTTTTAGTAGAGACAGGGTTTCACTATTTTGGCCAGGCTGGTCTCAGACTCCTGACCTCAAGTGATCCGTCCGCCTCAGCCTCCCAAAGTGCTGGGATTACAGGCGTGAGCCACTGCTCCCAGCCAGCACCGAGTTCTTAGAAAAGTCATTAGGAAAAATTTAAAGACTCAGATTCCTGAAAAAAGATTTCTGCTACTACATCCTCCATAGAGAAGAAACCTAGAAACTGTTTTGATCCAACATCTTAGGACTTTTTTTTTTAGCATATATTTTTTTAAATTTAATTTTATTTATTTATTTATTTATTTATTTTGCATATTGTCTTAATATAATGAATGAAGATAAAATAAAAATATTTTAGAAATGTTATTTTTATTAACAATTCAAAAAGCCATTTATATTATTTTTATCATTAAGCTTAGTAAAGTTTTGTAAACCCTTGATTGGATATCACATGACTTTAAGCATAGAAACATTGTAGGTGATTGCTTTCAAGTTCTGTATGCTTCTCTTTTGATGTCTTGCTAATTGATGATTTCATACCGTCACTAGTTTATATCTCAGGTCACAGTAGATACTTATTGCAAGGTTCATTATTAACTATTGTGAGTATAAGTCCTTATTTTAAATATGTTTGTTTATTTATTTATTTATTTATTTATTTATTTTTTGAGACAGGATCTGCTCTGTTGCCCAGTCTGGAGTGCAGTGATGCAATCTCAGCTCACTGCAACCTCTGCCTCCTGGGTTCAAAGGATTCTCATGCCTCAGCCTCCCGAGTAGATGGGATTACAGGCATGTGCCATCATACCTGGCTAATTTTATATAAGTTTTTTTTCTTTAATTAGAGGGTTTTTTTATTGGCTGACGTTTGGCAAGTAAAATCTTCAGTGTTTTTTATCTTTTCTTCCCTTTTTAACATGAGCGATAAAGAGTTTGTCTGAGTGTGAGAGAAGTGTTGGTCTTGTCATTTTCTCGTTGTTTGCTGGGGTTTGTAGTACTTGCAGTATTTTGGACCTGTGGTTTCTTTCTATGAATCTTTTTTTTTTTTTTTTTTTTTTGAGACAGAGTTTCACTCTTGTTGCCCAGGCTGGAGTGCAATGGCATGATCTTGGCTCACTGAAACCTCCGCCTCCCAAGTTCAAGCTATTCTCCTGCCTCAGCCTCCCAAGTAGCTGGAATTACAGGTGCCCACCATGACACCCAACTAATTTTTTTTTTTGTATTCTTAATAGAGACGGGGTTTCACCATGTTGGCCAGGCTGGTCTTGAACTCCTGACCTCAGCTGATCCGCCTGCCTCAGCCTCCCAAAGTGCTGGGATTACAGGCGTGAGCCACCATGCCTGGCCTCTGTGACTTTTTTACAGTTTTTTTTTTTTTTTAATGATTTGAAAGTTAATTTAGTTAAAATTACGTGTTGCAATGCATATGGCCACTTACCTAGGCACAAGTAAATAGCAAAGTACTGAGAGCAAACACAGGGTTGAAAGTAAATAATCCCTTCCAACCTTACCATGTTCTGGAACACTGGAAGATTCCCACTTTGCTCAGGAAACCTCATCTATCTTAAGTATTGCAGATTGAGTGAAAACTCCAGGCTAATCTGGATATAAGACATTGGTTAAGCTTAATTTATTTTTAAAATAAAAACATATAATGACAGCCCTATGGTCTAAATTCCTGCAGGCTTCTACTCTGTTGAATCATCGTAACTGTATACCTTGTATATGTTTCTCCATGTGACTTAGGCTTCTGGTGAACCATGTGAAAGAAAGGAACGAAAGTATTTAGGTAACGTAATTTTCCCTAGAAAAATTTGAGGTGTAACTCATTATACCTGAAAAAATTCTCCCGGAGTTCCTTTGGGTATGTCTAACTAAATGCTGCTAAGAAGATGTGTTTCACATGTATAAATATTCATTATTTCTATATATTAGGGTTGAAGAACTCAAACATTTACAGGAAATTAAATCCTATTTTCATTAAAATTCCCCTGTTCAGAATCCTTAAAGTAGACAGCCCTGACATTTAAATTGGAATCCACTCTTTTCTTCATTCTGTTGACCAAAGTAATACTGGGAAAATATGGGAATTATCTGTTTACCAAAGTGATACCTATATCCTATATGCTAAACCAAACTCAGAAGCCTAGTGGATGAAATATCTACCTCCTGTGCTGAGGCCACCAGGTTCAATTCCTGCTGGGATGGTAGTTTTTTCAATTAAATTTCCATTAACTTTTCACCTCTGTGTCATTAGACACTAATTCTTAACGTGCTGCAAAGATGAAAGAGTAAAAGGAAATATCTGATTCATGCATCATGTTGCTGACAAGTGAAATGTGAGGATGACAACTTTTTAATGTGGGAGATATAGGGAAGCCAGCAAGGGGACAGGTCTTTTAGACCTGACACTGACCACGGCTGAGGAGTCGTGGCAGCTGCAGCACAGGAAGGCAATTTGGAAGATAGCGATCGTGCAGTGGAAGCACTCAGGATTCTAAATGCTGGGATGCAAGAAGGAGCTGGGCAGACACAGCAGGCTTCAGGAAGCCTGAAACACCGGATGGCACGTTGGTAGGGAGAGGAGGTGGAGGGGTGCTGGCTATTTGGAACAAGCTGTTATGAATGGGGAAGGAAAAGCCATTTTCACCAAAGGAAAGAAAAACTGGGAATTCTTAGGTGACCTAAAGACAAAACAACAATATGTAAAATATGTGGAAAGGCAAGTGGCTCAGAGGTGCAAAAGAACAGTTCATGCATTGAAACATGGAAATGGCTGGGCGTGGTGGCTCACGCCTGTAATCCCGGCACTTTGGGAGGCTGAGGCGGGTGGATCACCTGAGGTCAGGAGTTCAAGACCAGCCTGACCAACATGGTGAAACCCCGTCTCTACTAAAAATACAAAAATTAGCTGGGCTTGGTGGCAGGCACCTGTAATCCCAACTACTCGAGAGGCTGAGGCAGGAGAATCGCTTGAACCTGGGAAGGGGAGGTTGTAGTGAGCTGAGATCAAGCCATTGCACTCCAGCCTGGGCAACAGAGCGTGACTCCACCTCAAAAACAAAACAAAACAAGACAAACAAGAAACATGGAAATGGTAACAATTCCCATTGTTTCCAGATGAAGACTCCCAGAAACAGACATAGGCTACAATTTTGCAAGTCAAGTAAGGATGAAAAGGCAAAAACCAAGCAAACAAAATGCAAAACATATGTTTACTAATTGGTGGTGTGGAGAAATACTAACAGTTGATGCTGAAGAAGGCTTGCTTGAGAGGTCTTTTAACAAAGAGCCTGTATTCTTTCAAGGTTTCATGAAAATAAGGGTAAATGGTTTTCAGAGTTCTGTTTCACAAATCTTAACCAAATGAGCATAGACACAGAACTTAAAAAATAGAGGCAGAAGAGATTAAGGACAACTCATTCACTAGGGGGTTGCTTGGGTTTACCTTTGGGGCATCTAAAGGATTGGATGATGAAATTAAAAAATAATTCCATGTTTTACTTGATAATATAAAGTAAAATATAAATGATTGTATACATATAAACACATACATATATGCAGAATGGACTTTTAAATACCCATAATAATGCCTAATATTTATCAAGTGGTTAGTGCTCCATGTACTATTTTCAACACTGTCCATTTACTCTTTTAAATAGTGTACATCTTAGTTATTTATCACAATTACTTTATTAGGGAGGTTCTCTATTTCCTCCCATTTCACAGATGAGAAAACTAAGGCACAGAAATGCAAGTCCAGGTTGATAGCATTGGTACATGGTAGAGGTAGGCTTGAGGACAAGGCATTTCGACTCTAGAGCCTGCTACTCTATTAAATAGCAGTTCATAATTCAAAAAAATTACATCTGGAACAGGTTCAACATTCATATTTGAATATAGCTTTGCCTGAGGTTCTGGGAATATTTACTTCAAAGTTAAAACTGAAATAAAATAAAAAGGCAAAATCAATTCAGGAGGAGCTATTTCTTATTTTAATGCTGGAAAGAAACCACATCACTTGTTAGCAGGATGCAAAACATCAGTTTAAAATAAAATAGGCTCATCTCGGCAAGGTTTCTTTCTGCTTCATTCTTGACCTTTGCTAGTGCCCAAACCCTTGCCCCGTGCTTGTCTGTCTGTGCTGGAGTCTACTTTGGAGTCAGCCTTGTTACTTCCATCTGCGCTCTGATAGTTAGAACGTGCCTCAGGCCTTCAGTCTGTACATGGGTTTGCCTTAGCTTCTCCTGTGTAGGTGCCAACATCACATCGAAACCTGGCCCCAGTAAGCTGTTCTGTTAGTTCAGAATGCCTTTGGCCCCAAGCAACAGAAAATCCAGCCCACAGTAGCTTAAACAAATAAGGGTTTATTTTTCTCCTGTAGGGAGAAGTTTGGAGCGAGGCAGCAGCTGGTATTGGTTTATCTGTTCAATGTTATTAGAGTTGGAGTCTTTGCAGTGCTCTTGGCCCTTCCCTCCTGTTTGCAATATGGCAGTCGCAGCTCCAAACGTTCAAGGCAGGCAGTGCGGGGAACAGGCAGCACCAGCCATGTCTGTTTCCTTTATCATGAAAGCAAATCTTAAAAGACCCAATACCCTTCCCTTTCCCTCTCTCCCCTCCAGGGACTTGGGTAAGACTGGGTTATGACTGGCTGTAAAGCAAGCGGGAAGAATGTCTTTGCAAGACAAGTGGAGATGGGTGTGGAATAGCCAAACTATGGAGTTTACCCTAACATCTCAGTAGACTTTCTAATTCAAGAAACAGTCTGAATTATAGAATTGTGTAATAGATAATCAGATAACTTTCAAGTTCATGCTATAAATTAAATTGGGCTAAATCGTGTCTTTTTCTTTTGTAAATTTTTACAATATTGAGTTTGATCTCTTAAATATTTGGCTCTAAAATCTTATTTAAAATATTTCTTTACACTGTCAGAAAGAAATGACTTCTTAAGAAAGGGTAAACTTAAATTCAGATCCTGTCTAAATGATCTCAAATTCCAAAATGTTGGATTTCAAACTAGTGAGATTTTACTAAACTCCACTTGTTTGAATAATGTTTACTTCTGCATCTATGCTCACTTAAATGAGATTTACAGAACAGAACTCAAATAAAATTACCTTGTTCGTGAAAGTTTTTAAAAGGTAGCATTACTACTCTTGTTTCATTTTGACTCACTAGCGCACATTCTTGGTAATATAAAATTATATATTTTATATTAGGGTAGTCACCCTAACTGGACTTGGGTTTGAATCCAGGCTCAAAAATGATGGATATAGAATATAATATATTTATATTATATATAATTTATATATAATGTATATATATTATATATAATTTATATATAATGTATATATATTATATATAATTATAATATATAATATATTATATATTATAATATATAATATATATATTATATATATTATAATATATAATATATATAATATAATATATCATTATATATCATTAGATATATATCATTATATATCATTAGATTATATATGTAATATATACAATTATATAATATAATAATATATAATATAAATATATGTTTTTCTTAAATTTATATTTACGACAAAAAGTATGCAGTCTAATTTCAAATATGAAATTTAACACACTTGGGAGGTATGTTTCTACAAAAATTCAATTGGTAAAATAAGAGGAAAAAGTAAAATAAATTGCAAAAAAGAAACAAGTAATACTTTTTAAGAATAACTGATAATTAAGAGAAAAAGAGAGATGGAGGACTTTGCAACCAGTGATAGGTAATGGGTTCTCTTTTAGAGGCAGATTTATGGGTTGAAGGGCCACATATTTGTCATCCACACAGAGACCGTTTGAGAGTGAAAGGGGCACAATGAATACTTTATGCCAGGGTGACAGGCATAAACTGGGGCAGTTTCAGGCAAAGCAGGATGGGTAGTCACCCTAACTGGACTTGGGTTTGAATCCAGGCTCAAAAATTATCAATTCAATAATCATGAAAAACTTTCATCATCTGTATTATGTTTTTCTGAAATATTTAATTTTGTATACTTTTGGATGATATGTATAATTTGGAAAATGTCAATGAGGATTTTAAAAAGTATGGACAATGTGAGACTTGGAACTGAAAATATTCAGAAACTAAAAACCATTTTGTATTTTTTATCAGTGCTAGCACTTTATGTAAAAAACTGCCAAATGGTAGCTTCAACACTTTATTTTTGTAGTTTATTTTTAGTCACTCATTAAATTTAAGTAATCTTTACTAAATCCATATTATAGATCAGATATTATATTGCTGGGCTCCTTAATCCTTATGATGACTCTATAGAGTAAGCATTCTTAGTTTTATTTTTCAGAAAAATTTTACCTCTGCAAGGGTAAATGACTTGCTCAAAATCTCATGTCTGGTAAACAGTAGAGCCTGCATTTAAACCCAAGTCCAGTGCCCTCTCCCTTATTGTATAGCTATTTTGAATATATTAGTTAACAAAAATTATCTTTACTTTTTGAAATATGTGCTTAAAATGCATGCTGCATTCTTAAACGTATCTTAAAATTACATTTCAGGGCCAAATTTATTTCCATAGGAATGTGCCTCTAATTTTATAATGGTATCAATGGGAAAATAAAAGAGGCTGTATGGAATTTTGCTTGACTGCCAACTCTGTGGGAGAGGTATAACAATGATAAGCCTAGGATTTGAAGACATAAAAAAAAGTTAGCAATTCCAAAGCACTATTGTTATCAATATAAGATATTTGAAAGTAGAAACACACCTTTATTTTGGACAGGATTTCCGAGAACCCTGAACAATATAGTTCATTGTAAAGCAGATGTGATATAAGACAGGGAACATCCTGTACCTACAGGAGGAGTTTAATTCATTGCTCAAGTCCCAGATATATTGTTATAAGTGACCTAATTTATAAGGAAAACACAATGTGAAACTTCATGATGAGGATGTCATTTTTACACATTTAGATATAGAATAATTGGCCGGGCATGGTGGCTCATGCCTGTAATCCCAGCACTTTGGGAGGCCAACCAAGGCGGGCAGGTCACCTGAGGTCAGGAGTTCAAGACCAGCCTGGTGAACATGGCAAAACCCGGTCTCTACTAAAAATACAAAAAAAAAATTAGCCGGGCATGGTGGCTTGTAATCCTAGTGACTCAGGAGGCTGAGGCAGGAGAATCACTTGAACCTGGAAGGCGGAGGTTGCAGTGAGCCAAGATTGTGCCATTGCACTCCAGCCTGGGCGACAAGAGCAAAACTCCATTCACAAAAAAAAAAAAGAACGATATAGAATAATTTTTTTAAAATTTCAGGTCAGTTTATCCAGAACTAAAATAAAGATGCCAGAAATAAATAGCAGCTGTTTAACCATGTAACAGCAACATGACACAACAGTTCAGGACAGGAGACAAAGATGAATTATGTTGATAGGTTGTGAAGTGGCAACATTATTTTTGCCTTTTCTTTTAGCCATCAGTCTTGAGTTCTCCATTACCCACTCCTTTTAAATAATTCCACTGAAAAATGCAAAACAGCTCAATCCATTCATTTTTTTATGTTCTCTTAAAATACCAGAGCTGTAATTTGCTAATCATATTTCATCACTCATGACAATGACTGCACAGAATTATGGTTGGTGAAATTGTTAAGCGTCTGCTTGGCTGTTATTGTATGAAGAAGGCCCATTTTGGCAATGGAAGAATGTGTTGATCAAGAGCAATTAATAGGATCACAGATTCTATACAGAAATGTAGGTTTTAGTAGAGATTTATTTTTATCCTATGGTAGCTTTCAGTTTTCTATGACAACGATAATTATTGACCTAGATGTTCAAAACAGTGGATTAATCCATCAACTTGGGTGAAGGCCATTGGAGTTGAATAAAAAGGAGACTCTTCCTTTTATGGTAATGCCAATTCCAATGGAAAATGTCTGTTAGTGACTTTAGCCATGGTCCAACTGACTGACTTGTGCTGAGCAGCCAGGAACATATGACTCTTGACATATGACTGATCTGTGATGCTGATTATGTAGGTTTTTTTTGGCGGGGGGGGGGGGGCGGGGACAGAGTTTTGCTCTTGTTGCCCAGGCTGGAGTGCAATGGTGCCATCTCAGCTCACTGCAACCTTTGCCTCCCGGGTTCAAACGATTCTCCTGCCTTAGCCTCCCGAGTAGCTGGGATTACAGGAATGCACCACCACGCCCGGCTAATTTTGTATTTTTAGTGGAGATAGGGTTTCTCCATGTTGGTCAGGCTGGTCTCGAACTCCCGACCTCAGGTGATCTTCCCACCTTGGCCTCCCAAAGTGCTGGGGTTACAGGCGTGAGCCACCGTGCCTGGCTGATGATGTAGTTTTAAGTATCGCCAAGAATCCATTATTTTATTCAGAAGAGTGAGTAATATTATTTATGAGCCAAATCATTTTGCTGAGTGCTTCAAATTACACAATGCATTTCATCTAATCTCCCAACAACCTTAAGAGGTAGGTATTATTATTTCAATGTTATGAAAGAGAAAGCTAAAGCCCAGAGAAGGGAAAGCTATTTGTTAAGTCACGCAACTAATAAATAGTTGAACTAAGTTTGATCTCAGGTCACTGGTCTCCAAGTTCATTGCTATTTTCTTTAGACTACAGTGCTACTTCTCAATAGCTGTGTGCACGTAAGAAACTCTCAGGGATGAGTGATAGGCTCAAAGGTAGTTAGCAGATGTAGGCCTAAGTTAGGAGGCATGAAGAAGTATAGGATCAATGATCCTTCGATCAGGAAGTAAGTAGCCTGTGCCTCATTCCAGAATTCCTATATCAAGCGTGAATTTTTAGGGGTAGCTTGTCCAAACTATTTCTCATATCTGGCCTTCTCCAACTGTCTACCAATTCACTGGGGCACCAAAGCCCTTTTGCCCCCATCACAGTGTGGAAGATTCATTTGTCAAATAGAGATGTTTACAGAGAACATATCTTTCAGATCCTAATGTTACTGTGTAGACAAACATAGGTTTGGCAGGCTTAAAACCCCCTTTTTAGATCTTCTTTAGTTCCCCCTTCCTCTTCCTCCTGTGACACCATTTCTAAAATAGTAGTAGAAATTGTAGAATGAATGAAAACATGAACATCTTCTGACAGAGAAATCCTTTCTGTAGCATCTCTGCTGACATCAAGTTCTCTCTCATAGCACCCGGGTTTGTGTCTTATCTTTGTTCTTTATTTAGTTGAGTGACCTTCAGCCCACTTTACCTCTCTAAGCCATATTGAAAAGTCACTAGTCTTATAGGTGTCCTGTGAGAATAAATTGGGATGGTGCAGATAAGCACAATCTGCAAATTACCACCTCCTTCCTATGGGGCCCGTTACCCTGCAGATAGACACACTCACTTCTCACTGAGTCGCTTAAAATATATGAAGATGAAGTGATATTTGGATCTAATACTATTTGAGGGATTCTAATTCCAGTGGTAGTGAAAATTCTTGACTTGCCAGAGTTAGGGACTCTCTTCACTGTTCCCGCAGAATCTTGTATCTCTCTTCCACGCAGAACTTACCCCATGGAATTGTGACAACCGTTGACCTCTGTATCCGTGAGTTCTGCGTTCATGGGTTCCACTAATCTTGGATAGAAAATATTCAGGAACAAACCCCCAGACAATAAAAAACCCAATGTAACAATAAGAAATACAAATAAAAAACAATACAGTAGAAAAAACGATTTACATTGTATTAGATATTATAAGTAATCTAGAGATAATTTAAAATATAAATGGGTACTGTGCCTAGACGATATGCAAATACTATGCCATCTTATTTAAGGGACTTGAGTATCCACAGATACTGCCTTTGGTATCCACAAGAAGGTCTTGGAACCAATCACCCACGGATACTGAAAAACAACAATATCTCTTTACATTTTATTTTCCCCCTCAAGAATAAGAAGCCAATTTTAGTCACCTTTGTATCCGCCGCAGTGCTTGACATTCAACCTGGCACACTATGGTCACTCCATAATTGTTTAATAAGAATGGGTATTTGCTGAATGTTTACTTGGTGCCACTGTTTCAAGTGTCTTACCTATATTAAATCATTTAATCCTTATATCAATAAAATTATCATTTTGCTGTTGGGGGAACTGAGGTTTTAGGGATATTAAGTAACCTGACCAAAGTCACGTAGCTCTTCAGTGGCAGCTCTAGGGGAGTCCAGGGTGTGTCTGAGGTGGGGTCTTCTCACTCAAGACTACCCTTAAATACTGCAGCTTGTTGCTTTAAGACACCGCTCATGCCTGTAATCCCAGCACTTTGGGAGGCCGAGGTGGGTGAATCAGTTGAGGTCAGGAGTTCAAGACCAGCCTGGCCAACATGATGAAACCTTGTCTCTACAAAAATACAATGAAATTAGCCAGGTGTAGTGGCACATGCCTGTAATCCCAGCTACTCGGGAGGCTGAGACAGGAGAGTCGCTTGAACCAGGAGGCGGAGCTGGCAGTGAGCCAAGATAGTGCCGTTGCACTTCAGCCTGGGTGACAGAGTAAGACTTCATCTCAAAAAAAAAAACGACACCAACATTCTGGCCGGGCAAGGTGGCTCACGCCAGGTGGATGGCTTGAAGCCAGGAGTTCGAGACCAGCCTGGCCAACATGGTGAAACCCCATCTCTATGAAAAATACAAAAACTAGCTGAGTATGGTGGCACAGGCCTGTAATCCCAGCTACTCGGGAGGCTGAGGCATGAGAATTGCTTGAACCCAGGAGGCGGAGGTTGCAGTGAGCCAAGATTGTGGCACTGTACTCCAGCCTGAGTGATAGAGTGAGGCTCTGTCTCAAAAAAAAAAAAAAAAAAAAAAAAAGACATCAACACTCGTTGTAGAAAACTTGGACAATAAAGGAAAACACGCCTAAGAGAAAAATACTATTTCTTTATTCTTGTGCATATAAACATAATTCTACCACCTAGAGCTAACTACAAGTAGCATTTTCCCTCATTCTGTGGGTGGTATTTTATATAGTTGAGTTTATACTGTAAATGAATTCATAGCTATTTTTTACTTTTAGCCTATTATAATCGCTTTTAATGACAAAAATATCTTTACATAAATAAGTAGATTATTATTTACCCAAACATTCTCCCATAATTGGGCACTGTATTTTTCCTTCCAGTTTTAAATTATTCTGTAATTAGCATTTTTGTGCATAAATCTTTTGTATGTATTGTACTTTTGTGTGGTTCACAGAAGAGGATATTATTAATACACATTGCCAAATCGCTTCCTACAAAGATGGTATTAATTCACATCTCCATCAGCAGAGTCTGATCAGGCCTTAGACCTAGTTGGAGAGAAGTTTTGGAAGGAGACGAATGCAGAGATTTGAAGATTCTGAGGAAGGGAGACCGAGCATCAGGAAACAGGGAGTGAAGCAGTACTGGCCTTTAACACCCCTGCTCTTTATCCACTTAGAACAGGAATCACCAACCCCCAGGCCACTAACAAGTACAAGTTTGTGGCCTATTAGGAACCGTGCCACACAGCAGGAGGTGAGTGGTGGGCAGGTGGGCGAGCCAGGCTTCATCTGTTTTTACAGCCAGTCCCCCTCGCTTGCATTACCCCCTGAGCTCTACCTCCTGACAGATCAGTGGCAGCATTCAATTCTCAAAGGAAGGCGAACCCTACTGCATGCGAGAGATCTAGGGTGCACACTCCTTATGAGAATCTAACACCTTGATGACCTGTCACTGTCTCCCATCACCCCCACATGGGACCATCTAGTTGCAGGAAAACAAGCTCAGGGCTCCCACAGATTCTACATTATGGTGAGTTGTATAATTATCTCATTATATACTACAATGTGATAATAATAGAAGTAAAGTGTACAATAAATGCAATGCACTTGAATCATCCTGAAACCATCCCCCACCACCAGCCAGTCCATGGAAAAACTATCTTCCACGAAACCGGTCCCTGGTACCAAAAAGGTTGGGGACTGCTGACTTGGAAATGGGGAATGAAAAAGAGCTGCCCCAAAACAGAAGGAGGATTCTGTTGTCTTGGGCTGTCCCTTCATTTTGGTCTAAGTGTTGGAACTGCTCCAGCCTTGCTAGGTGTGTCAAGTCGTGAGGCCTTAGTTCAGCAGCGGGATGATAATGTAGTTTTAAATTTGACTAACAGTAATAAAGCACTTTTCAAAGACAAAGCAACCCTTCCAGAAAAGATTCTTTGAATTGTCCCCTTCTCTGTGTATGTGCCGTGCAGTGCACGTGTGTGATGGCATTGGTAGTGGGGGTGGGGGGAAGGGTGTCAATTTGAGAACAGTTACCATTAAGAAGAAATCAACTGATCAAAGGAATTGACTTTGCCATTTCCCTGGGTTTTCGAGCGTATTTTGTTAGGTTAGGCACACCGCAGTGAATTTAGGGCACCATGCTGTGGCCTTTTCATTAATACCTGGGAGGCTGTCTCTAGCCTGTGGCACTTAGGGAGAGGAATTAGAAATATATAATTCACCGAGTATCTAACTTCATATCTTGTAAGACCCTGGTTTTAATTATCCAAGAAAAGCATTTACTTTTCTCTGCCTTTATTTTGTGCTTTGAATTGTTTTTTTGGCTTTTCTCTCCCTTCTTTTTCTTCTCTTTAGCTCTCTAGCAATTATGTCTTGACTGCAGGGCACTCATTTTTCCCTTCCAATACATTCAGGGGCTTCATTTTTATTATTTGTCTTTGCAACAACTATATTCACCTGTTTATGTCTCTTGGCTTTTTTTTTTTTTTTTTTTTTTTTAAGCCCAAAGACCAAGTGTGCTTTGCTTACTTTGGTTAGGAAGAAGAAAATGACCTCTTGCTTCCAGAGCAGCAGACCTGGCCATGCTGGGATGCCAGCAATATGAGCTACAGATTGTTTGCAGTAAAAATTGCATCTTTCGACAAAAAGAGCAAGAATCCTCTGGGAGGGGATTGGTAGCATTTTCCTTGGGCATGTGAAAACTTTCATTTTGGCAAGGAGCATTGTAATTAGCACCATGGACTTTAGAATCAGATAAACCTAAATCGGAGGGCTGGCTCCAGTTAATAGCTTAGGAACTTGGCAGTGTTTTCTGAGTTTCAGTTAGTTCATCTGTGAAATGGGGATAATGACATTTACCCTACAGGGTGGCTGGAAAGATTATGTGAGATAAATCACATAGACCACTCAGCGCAAGGCCTGGCCTGTGTGCTCCATAAATGTTGGCTGCAATTATTTTCATCATTTTTTTTTCTATCATCGTCCTTACTTGTTTGACTCATAAAATTTCTCACTTGGCCTATCCTATAGTAAGGATTCTTTTTTTCTTTCTAAGTGTAGCCTCTATTTTTCTGGTAATCTCAGCAGATCAAAGTGAGGGAAAAGTCTTTCCTCAGGAACCTGTTAATATTGTGATAAGAATAGCATGTTGGATGGATTTCTCTTCCTTTTACTGTTGTTTGGGAAACACTGTCTGTTTCCATGGCTTGAGCAGTAGTGTTTGATTATAGGGTTAACTGATCCCTAAATGGATAGGGAAGAACATGGAGACACCAGAGAAAATATTTATGAAGGAGAAAGCATCTGAGGCATAAATATGCATCTAACTTGTAATGGAATCATTCAAACTAGTGCTTTGAGCTGCCACCTGGATGCCTGGTAAAGAGCTTGCCCGTACAGTTTCACTCCCACATACTCACTCCTATGGTGCCTACTATAAAAACAATAAAATATTAATAATACAAAAGGGTCTTCCTGAAGGTGCAGCATGTTACAAGTTGTAGGGCATTAACAGCAATTTTGTGAAATACAATTTGAGGCATGTGTTTTCAGAAACGCCTGCCCCAAATCTATGTCTTGCTTGATTCAAATCAGCTACTATGGTCTAACATGTCTCCTCGAGTTTTTCTTTTCATTGCTCTGGTGTCCTTGTACAATTTCTTCCTTTCCTTTCCTCCTATGATCATTCCCACTTGTACAAAGTACCAGATCTCTCCAAAGCTGGTTTCTCAACACTTAGCAAAGCTCTCTGTCTTTCTCTTCTGTAATTCTCAAGAGTGGGGTGAGGAGCAAGAAGACATTCAAGTTCTCAAGTGATTTTTCTGTGTTTTTTAATTCTCTAGAATCAAGGTCTTGATTCTTAGTTCTTCTGGGTCTTAAACCATTTTAACAGATCAACAGTCCACCCACTTGGGCTTTTTCCTCATGTAATGAACCAAGTAGAGGACAGTAAACCCACTTGGTTGGAACCCAGTGCCCTTGTGGGTCTGATTTCCACGTGGGCAACTGGCCTTGCTGGCTTTGCCATCACAGCCTAGAGAATGACCTGTTAGTGGCAGGAGGATGACTGAAAGTGCTTGTCATTTGGTAGTAGTGAAATGGGTTCATTTTCACACACGGACTCTAGTGGGTTGGGATGAAATTATTGCCATTTTTATAAATTTGGCCAAAGCTAGTTTCTGAATACCTGGTGGAGAAGGTTGGGCTGTGAGCGGGGTATAATTCATCTTGCGGCTGTGAAACTCTTGGGAAAGTGACTTGATGGGCCAGTTGATGTGAAGAGAAGACATGTCAGACTTAGTACTCACCTGGTGTGATGGTTAATATTGAGTGTCAACTTGATTGGATTAAAGGATGCAATATTGATCCTGGGTATGCCTGTGAGGGTGTTGCCAAAGGAGGGTAACATTTGAGTCAGTGGGCTGGGGAAGGCAGACCCACCCTTAATCGGGTGGGTACCATCTAATCAACTGCCAGCAAATGTAAAGCAGGCAGAAAAACATGAAGAGATGTGATGGGCCCAGCCTCCCAGCCTACATCTTTCTCCCGTGCTGGATCAGACTCCAAGTTCTTGAACATCAGACTCCAAGTTCTTCAGATTTGGGACTTGGACTGGCTCTTGTCGCTCCTCAGGGCTTGCAGACAGCCTATTGTGGGGCCTTGTGATCCTGTAAATTAATACTTAATAACCTCCCCTTTATATATATGTGTGTGTGTGTGTGTGTGTGTGTGTGTGTGTGTGTGTGTGTATCCTATTAGTTCTGTTCTTCTATGAGAACCCTAATATACATGGCGTGGTCTGGCAGGAGAGAGCTAAAATACTCTGCATAAAAGGAAAACAGGTGAGGGAATTAGTTGCTGCTATCTGATTATTTGATGGCTAGAGGTGGGAAGTTTGGAGAGAGACTCTTGAAAATAGTAATACTAACTAACACTTATTGAGGGATTACTGTATCTCAGGGACTGTTCTAAATTCCTATGAGTTGACTCATTGAATACTTACAACACCACACTACCACACTAGATGATATATGTGTGTGTGCACATGTGTGAGTTTACTGAGTTGAAATCCACTTAACATAAAATTAACCCTTTTTACATGAAAAATTCAACAACATCTAATACATTCATAACATTGTTCAACCACTACTTCTATGAGGTTCCAGAACATTTTCATCACCCCCACAAGGAAACCCTGTATTTGTTGTGTTAGTGGCTTAAAACAGTGGAAACGTATTGTCTCACAGTTCTACAGGCTGGAAGTCTGGAACCAAGGTGTCTGTAGGGCCATGCTCCCTGAGACTCTGAGTAGAATCTTTCCTCACCTCTTCCTGGCTTCTGGTGTGAACAGCAATCATGGTGATCCCTGGCTTCCCGCGGCATCAGTCCAGTCTCTGCCTCCATCTCCCAATAGTGTTCTGTCTGTGTGTCTGCACCTTGTCTTCCCTCTGCCTCTGTTCATCTTTCTCTGTCCTAATTTCCCCTTTTTACAAGGACACCATTCATATTAGATTAGGGACCATACTAGTGACCTCATTTTAACTTGATTACCTCCATAAAACCCTATTTCCAAATAATGTCACATTCTGAGGTACTTAATGATTAAAATTTCAACGTAGCTTTTCGGGGGAGCGCAATTCAACCTACAACACCCATTAAGCAGTTGACTCCTCATTCTCCTCTCCCTTAGCCCTGGTAACCACAAACCACAATCTGCTTCCCATTTCTGTGGATTTGCCTACTCTGGACATGTCATAGAAATGAAAGCATATCATATGTTACCTTTTGCGTCTGGCTTCTTTCACTTAGCTAAACCTCATGTTTTTGAGGTTTCTTCATGGGGTAGCATGTATCACCACTTCATGCCTTTTTAAGGACGAATAATATCATACTTGTTTTCCAAATGAAGAAACTGAGGCATGTTAAGGTTAAGTAACATGTCCAAGATCACACGATGAGGAGATTTCAGGAGAGGGCTCTGAGGGAGAGTCTGTTTCACTCAGAACCCAGTGGCCGGGGACAATGAACTCCTTCTGGTCTAAGTTATTGGTGCTGCCCCTGCTGGCTCCGCTGTCCATGGCCCGAGCCTCTGCCTGTCAGAGATGGTAGAGCCACCAGGACATGGAGTCATTGCTGACACAGGGAAATATGAGATGTCTTAGGTTTGGTGTATGTGAAACATGCATGAGAAATAGAGGCCAAAAGTTCCACTGTGGAGCGCAGACAGAATGGTCTGAATGCTCTTGCAGTTACTACGTCAGTAGTTTGTCATCTAATATATATTATACATCTATAACCTATGTATTTACCTTATTGTGATAATACTGTTTTGTTTTGTTTTTTTTCTAATTTTGCTTTGTGCAAAGCCAAATCCCTTTCAGCAGCATTGAGCTAAAAAAAAAAAAAAAAAAAAGTGCATGTTTAGGGCTGGGCACGGTGGCTCATGCCTATAATCTCAGTACTTCGGGAGGCCGAGGCAGGCGGATCACAAGGTCAGGAGTTCGAGACCAGCCTGGCCAATATGGTGAAATCACGTATCTACTAAAAATACAAAAATTAGCCGGGCATGGTGGTGGGTGCCTATAGTCCCAGCTATGCGGGAGGCTGAGGCAGGAGAACCGCTTGAACCCTGGAGGCGGAGATTCCAGTGAGCCAAGATCGCGCCACTGCACTCCAGCCTGGCGACAGAGCGAGACTCTGTCTCAACAACAGCAACAACAAAAAAGTGCATGTTTCATAAAAAATTAAGTATGAAATAATCTTTTCTAAAGAATGTTGATGATGATGTACAACTTGCAGAAATGCTTGTCAACATTTGCCATACACTCAGTGGCTGTAGTCATATCACTGACCACAGGTACACCCAGAAGACAAATTGTTATGGAAAAGCTATTTCAAAAACTAATAGCTATTTTAGGAAGATTATGACCGAGCTGATAATTTAAGCAATTATGTTTATATATCACTCTGGGTAGTATGACTTTTTAGGTAGTGATTTTTTTCTTCTAAATTAATTTTGCTTAATTTTAATTTCACTTTTTCTTGTGAGCATTGGGAAAGAAAAGTGATAGCTACTAACGGAATGGCTCTATCAGTAGAAGAAGATTTTTATAAACAGTTAAACGATGCAGATTTAGATCCATTTCTTGTAGAGAAAATCAGTTAATTTAAATAATGGTTTGATTTTTTTTTTGAGCCCAAGGACTCAAAGGAAAGCTTTTGAAAGTTCATCCTGTCAAAGATATAGCCTCTCATACTGTAATTTATAACTTCACTTAAAACATTCAACAATTAAGATGGAGGAGGTACTATAAATATAGATTTTCATGGAGTACAGAATCATGGGAAAAATAGTGTTATTACTAAATTAAGAAATCTATGGAACAGAAATATATTTGGAATTAGATGTAGTGCGTTCAGGGTTCATAATTGCATCCAAACAAGCTGTGATAGTCTACCAGCAAAATAGAAGCTATAGTTGACAAACATTATAAGTATTTTTATTTATACACAGAGAAACTGAACTACAAAATATTTGTGATAGAGACGATGTTGAATTAAAAAAACGCTGCAGCCTGGTGGCATGTGCTTTTTTTCTTCCCTCCTGCATGTTCTTAGATTTTAGAAATGTTTGAACCTTTGAAGGATTATTTGTAAATCAGCTCAAGCATACTGCAATATACAGTGACCTTTTACTTTTTTTTTAAAAAAAAAAACGAGGCCTCTAAATTGTGCTTGCTTTTTGTTCAAAACTGGTTGGTAATTTTTCATCAAGTAGTCAAGGAATGGTGAGCCAAAAGACTTCAGCTCTTGAAGCTTTTAGGAAAATGTAATTATTGAAAACTAACCTTCGACCTACAAAGCCAAAGGATAAACAACTTAAATAAGTTACATTTGAGATTAAACAGTTATGCTTTGAAATATCTTGATTTATGGGAAGGATATTTTGATGGAACTTTTATATTTAATTGGATAAATTTATGTTCTATACTGGAATGGAATAAAATTCAGAGGTCTATGATTTTTAAGCATCTAAATTTGGCAAAACATTTAAAAAAATCCTAAATAGAAACAACTTGTTTGATGAGTTTTGCCTTGTAAAATCTTTGTGAAAGTTTCTCTGTATGGAGATAAAAAGATGGTACCCGTGAAAAGATTTGAACTGAAATATTAACATACTTCAGGAAGAAAAAAGAAATAGAACTGGGAATGTCTTCTGTTGACCAGAATTAATTCTTAGCTTACAAGGTGCTGCAGCACTTGTAGAAAGAGTATTTTCTTTATTAAAAATACTATGGTCATCTGAGAAGAGTCAGTTGACAGTATCAGTAATTTCAGATTTACAAACTATAAAGTTCAACTTTGAAAAAGACTGCAAGTAATTTTACGAAAAAATTAAAAATACATATATCACAAATGCTTTCTTTAGAAAGATACCAGTGATGGGCCCAGGAGTAGTGGCTCATGCCTGGAATCCCAGCACTTCGGGAGGCCGAGGCGGGTGGATCATCTGAGGTCAGGAGTTCGAGACCAGCCTGGCCAACATGGTGAAACTCCATCTCTACTAAAAAAATAATAAAAATTAGCTGGGCGTGGTGGCGCGCATCTGTAATCCCAGCTACTCAGGAGGCTGAGGCAGGAGAATGGCTTAAATACAGGAGGCAGAGGTTGCAGTGAGCGGAGATTACGCCACTCCACTCCAGCGTGGGTGACAAGAGTGAAACTCCGTCTGAAAAAAAAAAAGAAGAAAGATACCAGTGACATGATATCAAATATAGATATGACTTCAAAACTGATTATGATAATTATGAACCAAAATAGTACACTGCTTCAGTTATTTCATGCATTTTCTTTTGCCTCCTGTTTATATTATTTTTATGTTTAAGCAAATCAACCTATAACTTAAAAAAACCTGTACTTTAATGTACATTGATTTTTTTATTTTTAGAAATGATTTTCCCTTTGAAGATAATTTTTGACTATAAGTATTTTATATACCTACTGTTGTACAAAACCAATTTGTCAATCTATAAATGCATGCTTTAAAAATATAATTTTGAGTTCATGTCCTTTGCAGGGACATGGATGAAGCTGGAAACCATCATTCTCAGCAAACTAACACAGGAACAGAAAACCAAACACTGCATATTCTCACTCATAAATGGGAGTTGAACAATGGAGAACACATGGACACAGGGAGGGGAACATCACACACCGGGGCCTGTTGGGGGGTGGGGGGCAAGGGGAGGGAGAGCATTAGGACAAATACCTAATGCATGCAGGGCTTAAAAGCTAGATGATGGGTTGATGGGTGCAGCAAACCACCATGACACATGTATACCTATGTAACAAACCTGAACGTTCTGCCCATGTGTCCCAGAACTTAAAGTATAATAATAATAAAAAATTTATGATCTAAAAATATATATATACAATTTTATTTTTCTCTTTTTCACATTCAAAATTATTTCTGTGTAGATAATAAATTATATAATCACATAGTTAGAACAGATGTCTATTTTGAGTGTTGTTTAAAAAAAAAAAACCTCATTGCCTCATTTACAGATTTTGACAAAGATTCACAGACCTCTATTCACTTGCAGCATCCTGAATGCCAAGAAGAGGAGGTGCCTACTATCGAGGAATGAGTTGGACATTCCTCGATTTGGAAATGGATGAACCTTGGGTGTTGATGGTTTCATTTGCTTTTTCCCCAGCTCACTTTGATTTAGCTCTCTCCACTGTCCTAACAGTAACAGTGATGTCCAGTTTGCACACAAGTAACTCTTCATTCAGTAAATAATTGTTTAAAAATGTTTATTCATTTTGGTAATTATATTTGCATTCATTACATATCTTTAGGAAATCATTTTATTTTTTACAATACATGACTTTTTTCAGTGTAGAAGGAAAAGGTAATTCTTTCAGTATTATAGCATATTACATACAAACACACCCACTAATGAGCTCACTAAGTGTCAAATAATTAGGTAATTAGTGTTTTAAATGCCTTGTATCATATCATGCAGAAATCCACAGTGGATTGTCTTATGGGTGATTAAGAATATAGGTGATATAGAGAATGCATTATTATTTTTTTCTTTGATGTAATAGAATATAAGCTCTTGCCGCCAAAAGTTCACTTTGTGGTAGAATTTCAGAGAAGGATTGGATTCAGATAACAAAGACTACCTATATTTATTGAGAGACTTTTAAAATGCCAGGTACTGTTCTAGGCATTGGGGATTCAACAGTGAGCACAAGCAACAAAGTCTAGGAGGAAAAGGGCAATAAATGAAACATGGTACAAAATGTGTCAGGAGAGACGCATCCAAAGAAGAAAAATCAACCAAGCTATGGGGACACAGATAGGAGAGGTGCTGCTTTATGTAGTCAGGGAAAGTCTTTTTGGTGAGGTGCAGAGACCTGAATGAAAATCCATTTGCATATCTGTGGGGAGGGCTGACCAGGCCAGGACTGAGACAGGGAGTGGCCTGTTGTGTTTGAGAAGGGTAAAGGGGCTGGTGTGGCAGGGGAGACTGAGCCTGGGGCGGAAGGGTTGGGGAGGTGGCGTGGGTGGGGAGGTGGGCGAGAGAGGACAGCAAACAGGTGGGTGTGGGGAGACCTTGGAGGACCTTGTAGGCAAGGGTAAGATCACTGAATTTTATCTTGAGTGAGGTGGGAAGCCACTGAAAGTTTTGAGCAGAGGAATGGCATAATCTCACATATCACAAAGGATGATTCTGGCTACTGTATAGAGAATATACTATGTGTGCGTGCATGTGTGTGCGTGCATGCGTGCATGTGTGCGTGTGCATGTGTGTGCGCGTGTGCGTGCGTGTGTGTACGTGTGCATGCGTGTATGTGTGTATGTGTGATGGAAAACGGAAGGGTAGAAACAGAGAGCCCACTCCAAAGGCTCTCGCAATGGCCCAGGCAACACACGATGGAGGCTTAGGCCCAAGTGGTCACGCAGGGGTGGTAAAGAAACAGTAGGTTCTGGACATATTTTGAGGGCGAAATTGACATGACTTGAGATGAATCAGAGGCAGGAGAAGGTTGAAAGCTTTCTGCCTGGATATTATGAAGAACGGGGTTGCCATTGATGGAGTAGGGAAGATGAGGAGAGGAGTAGGTTTGGGTGGGGTGGGGTGGGGAGGGGGAGTCAGGAGTTCAGTTTCAGACTTCTTCCATTGGAGATGCCTCTGAGACGCGCAAGGGGGAATGGAGTGGTTGTCTACTCATCTGCGTTCGCTCCCTCGTCAGTAGACTGGATCTGTCAATAGTACCCTGCAATAGGATTCCTGCGAGGATGAAGAGTCAACAGGTAAAAGTGCTTTGTAAGAGCTGGTGGTAGTAACTATTCAAATGTTATTGTCATGAATATCTTTGATTAATGTACATTTTCTGAAGAAATTCATACTAAAAGAAAATACCGGAGTATTTTAGTGCAATAGAACACATAAAATCAGAACCAGAAATGATCCCTAATCTCTGTTAATTCAAACCCTTCTCATTTTACAGGTGAGGAGACCAATGGATGGCCAGAGAGACTCATGGCCAGTCTAGATCCCAGGGGCTGCCCCTGAAGCCTGCACTCTTTCCACAACACAGGACTTCCTGTGTAAAGTTACACTTTCTCCTCCAGGGACTCAGTTTTGAAGGGTGTTTGCTTAAAATCCAAGATGATTTAATGTTTAGCAAGACTTCTCATAGGTTTAATCATCAGTGAGTGGGACGGGCAGTCCCAACCCAGAGAGAGCACGCTGAGTTAATGTTCATATTATGCCTTGTTTAGAAGGGTGGGACATGGGGAGAGTGTTTTAACACTTCATCACCTCCCTGTTGACCTGGCCTCAGGAGCATTGGCCTGGCTTGCTTCATGGGGGTGACTGACCCTGCCAAAGCTCTTTTTTTAATTGTCAAATATCACATGTTCAAGCTTCCTTGGCCACAAGGGCCCATTCAACTGGAGGGACTGGAAGACAAGATAGACGCATCTGCTGTAAAGTTAACGCCCCCATGAACTTGGATGTTTCTAGTACTCGCTGTATTTCATTGTCACCTAAGAGGCTCCTCTTCTCCTCATCTCACCCACGCTTCCCTTGTCCCCCTCCCCTGAACTCCAAGTTAATGCTGCTCAGATCTTTTCTATTCATCTCGAGATGGTGATTAATACATCACTTATACTTGAGTCCTCTTGAAATTCTGAAGTTTCTGCAGGAGGGGTTGTTGGCAGGCCTGGAAATCAGTGTATCAGATCCTTCTCCATTAAGGCCTAGAGAAGCTGTGATTTTTGCCGCAAAGTTGAGGGCCTGGCACATTCCTAGGGCTTTCTAACTCTTCCCAAAGTGAGGACCAGCTGCTGAACCAAAGGAAATGACCCACCTCTCTCCTTTCCATGGGAATGTGCAGTGAGCCAATAACCCTAATGATCAAGAGAGGCTCCACTTTGTGGCTTACCCCCAGCGTATCTTTGCAAGCAGGAGTGGGTGGCCAGGCAATAGTGCCTGATGCAGAGGGGCTGGATTCTGTTTAGAGGTGAGGTGGTGTGGCCAGGAGGAAAATGCATTGACACCGTAGGTTCCCTACCCGGTATCCTATCTCCTCTCTCGCTTGGTAATAATGAATGCTAGTTTTGTTTGTAGCAGGAATGCTACATATTCTTAATAAACCAATGAGATATAAGAGAAGGCTATTGAATGGGGCTTCTAGGAAAGCCATTGCTTTTCTAATAAAAATGTAGAGTCATAAGTAAAAATTTTGATCATGAAGATGAAAGTCTCGTACTAAGGATGGCAAAAACTGAAAAACACAAGGAACTTGAGATTTGGCTGACATCACAGATGTGCTGTATCAGTACCTCACTAGGAGTTACTGTTAGGTGAGAAAACATCATCCCCATTTGACTAAGCTGTGATATCAGTTTTGTTACATGCAGCTGAAAGCAGTCCTAAGCGATGACAGTATCTTACCCCTGCAGCTGAAAGTTTGGCTCTGCCCCTTACCTGTGGTGTAGCATTAAGAACAACATGTGAACTCTCTGAGCCTCAGTGTCTCCATTTAAAAAATGAGGACAATTAATACCTCCCCTGCAGGGGTCCCGAGGAAACTACAGGGAATCCTGTGATTACTGCTATGGTAGGTTTTGTTCATTTGCAGAAGGGGGAGAAGTATGATTTGACAGCATGGGTAAGGAAGGACGGTTTGGAGGGGGAGGAAGTTAACTCTCTGAAGTAATGAGCAAGCCAAGAGGTAGGGAATCTCAGAGGATGCTGTGCTAAGTTCAGTCACCAGGAAGCAGAACCCAAATGTGTCAACCCTGCCTGAGGCAAAAACCTTTCCAGCTATGTTCTCCTTACGTGCTTCTTGCCAAGGCAGGAAACCAGGGTCTGGGTGCGGGTGGGCTGGGTGTGCAGGTGCAAGCACTTGAGAGGCTGCAGCTGGTGAGGAAAGAGAGTCCTGGAGCCCCAGGTAGGTCCTTACATCCTGAGGATGATGCAAGAAGTAGTGAGTATGGGTACGAATGAATTTTCTGTTACTTAGAATACCTGAAACGGGGTAATTTATAAAGAAAAGGAATTTATTTCTTACAGTGATGGAGGCTGAGAAGTCCCAGGTTGAGAAGCTGCAGCTGGTGAGGGCCTTCTTGTTTGTGAGGCCTCTGCAGAGCGTGGACAGGCAAGGGATGCTCTGCAGGGCATCATGTGGCAGAGGCTGAGTGTGCTAATGGGCTCGCTCAGGTCTCTCTTCCTCTTGTAATAGAGTCAGCAGTTTCCTTCCCATGATAACCCATTAATCCATTAACCCATTAATCTACAAATGGATTAATCCATTCCTGAGGGCACAATTCTTCATAATCCAATCACCCCCTAAAGGCCCCACCTTTCAATACTGCCACATTGGGGGCTAAGTTTCCAACATATGAAATCTGGAGGACACAGTCAGACCACAGCATTGTGTCTGCATGTGCCCTGCCAGGCCTTGGGCAGTGGCAGGTCAAGGAGGGCTCTTTTAAAAATGAAAATAGACTTTTATGATTCTTCTGTTAAAAAACCTTTTGCTGCTCCTATGTTTGTGCCCAAGAGTAGGATTGGAAAGTGACAGCAAAGGGGTACAGGGTTTCTTTTGGGGCAGTGAAAAGATTCTAAAATTGATTTTGGTGAGAAATGAAGAAAAAAGGCCATTGAACTGAATTCTATCTCAATAAAGTTTTAAAAAAGAAAGAAAAATGCCTTGCTGGTTCGTCATTACCAACAGGATATAGGCCCTTCTGGAATTGATTTCTACCAGCCTCTCTGCTCTGATCATCTGCAGGGGTCTTTTTGCCCAGTGCCTCTTTACCTCCAGCCACAGGGAACTATTATACCTTTAGTCTCCTATCTGCATCAGGTGTCAGGCCTCTGGGCCAGGGTACCTGCAGTTCCCTCTTCTTTACCTGGCAGAATCCTAGCTCTGGTCCTGCTAGCGGAGCACAGTTAAGCTCCACTACCATTTCTTTGGCAAAGCCTTCCCTGACATTTGTTGCTCCTCACATTCTTGATTCATTTAGCTGTCATTCTCTGCTGCTGAGCTACAGGCAACTTGAGGGCAGGGACTAGGTAGCTTTAGACTTTTTCTCCAATGACATTCCAAAGGCTGTGTGGGTTATGAGGGGGAGTCATCCCAGCAGGAAGTAGTCTGCGTTGCTGACATCATTTAGGATTGCCTTCATACAGTGATCATAAAAAGCATACTGACACTTAGTGTCATCCTGGTGTTTACATTTTCTACAATGTGCCCTCTTGTTGCTTTGCACCCAAGGCTGACCACTCTCACCGTCCTTGCTTGGTACCTATTTAGTGCCAGACCTTGCACATAGTAGCTACTTTATAAATAAGCCAGGGTGGCTACGTTCAGCAGGGGCCAGGCAAAGGCTGGGAAGGGGGTCTTGTTCTAGGGGAAGAAGCAGCCAAAACTGAGGAACACTTAGACCATGCAAGAGAGAGAAAGACTCAGGGCCTTGGTAGGGCTAAGGCAAGGAAAAGGGGACTCGAGAGAGCTGACTGATTTGATGGAGTATTTACCAGGGTCCAGAAGGAGAAGTCAGATGAAAATGTATATGGTGATGTCTTAGATGTGGCTGCTACAATAAATTATCACAGACTGGGTGCCTTAAACAACAAACATTTATTGCCCACTGGAGGCTGGGAAGTCCAAGATCAAGGTGCTGGTGGGTCTGGTGTCTGGTGATGGCTCACTTCCTGGTTTGGAGAGGGTGTCTTCTTGCTGTGTCCTCATGTGGAGGAGAGCAGAGAGTGAGATCACGCTCTCCTGTTTCTTCTTATAAATAACACTAACCCCATTCACAAGGGCTTCATCCCCATGACCTAATTACCTCCCAAAGCCTCCATCTCCTCAAATCAGGGCATTAGAGATTTAGATTTCAGCATATGAATTTCAGGGGGACACAAACATTCACTTCATAGCAGATGACTATTCCTATAAAAAATTTTCCCCGTGTGCCTTTTCTCTAACCACTTTCCCTGTAGATCTGTCCCTGTGTTTTCACTGGTTTTCCATACTGAGAGCTTTGTCTTTCTCATCAGCTACAAAAGGCTCATGTTGGCTACGATGCTGTCTCTAGGGCCTCTAAGAAAAGCAACTGGTTGACTTTTTATAACCCTTAATTACTGAGCACCTACCATGTTTCAGGTAGAGTGCTATGCTAGGGACCTACTGTATATCAGACATAGAACTGGGCACTTTGCATGCATTATCTCATCCCATCTGTTAATAAAACCTAAGAGTATGTTAGCTAGAGTAAGTAACGTTAGCCACTGTAACAAACAACCCCCAAATCTCAGTGGGTTAACACAATGTGATTATCTTTTATTCATATCACAGCCCAGTGCAGCTTGTGTATGTGTGTGTGTGAGTGTGGGTTGGGCTGGGAGGCTCTTCTCTTTGCAGTTTTTCAGAGACTCAGAATCCTTTCTCTCCTGTGGGGCTCTTTACCTTTATTCTCCTGGCTGCATCAGGTGTCAGGCCTCTGGGCCAGGGTGCCTGCAGTTCCCTCTTCTTTACCTAGCAGAATCTTAGCTCTGGTCCTGCTAGTGGAGCACAGTTAAGCTCCACTACCAGAGTCCTCTGCTGGTTAATGGGGAAGAGACAACATGTGAGAGACTGTGGGAAGGGTTTTGGAGGTCAGGCTTGGAAGTGGCATTTAACTCTCCTGTCCATATTCCCTTAGCCAGAGCTCACACACCAGGCACTGCAGGGGATACTCAGGAGTGTTTAGCTGAGTGCCCTGCAAGAGAATGAACTGGATTTGGTGAACACATATCATTACAATCATGACTGTTTTACAGACTGGCTAGCTTTAGCTGTCTTCTGGCCAAACAATGAGCTATTCCCTGAGGGGGAGCTTGTCTTCTGCAATTCTAAAATTCCCTCACTGTGCACAGGTTCTGACACATCTCTCTTGAATTGGATTGAATTGGAAAAGCTAAATCCTGTTGCAGAGTGGTGAGTGATTCTTAAATACATCCTCCTTTCTTTAAGACTTTCTGGTTTTCCACTTCAGCTGACAGCACTCCCCTTCTGGGTTGGAAGGTTGACAGCTGGAATCCCTGGCTTCTGCCCAAGGCTGAAGTTGCACAGTGAAGCTCTCCCTTGCCAGGTGGGCCGCCCAAGGTCCTTTGGAACACTCCTTCTCTGTGGTTTCTTCAGTGAGATAAGAAAAGTCTAATGATGCAGAAATACAAAGGAAGTAGGTCGGAGGAGGAGAACGAAGAATGACTTTGTTAAACCTGGTAGTTTCATCTTTCTAATTGCGGAGAAAGGATGGATGCATATCCCAAAGCAGAGAGTTACCTACTTGGGATGATCTGATTGCTTTAGGGGCACATTTCCCCCATCGTTACACAGACAAACTCAAGCTCAGGTTCAAGTGTTGGTCTTGACCCCCGTGTCCCCTTGTCTGCTACATGCTTGATGTTATACGTGATCCTATAGAGACACGTCATCCTCTTCATCTTCATCTGTCCTCTCACTGGGAAAAATAGCCCATGACATTTCACATTGTTTCCTGGCCCGATGTTTGACTCAGCAGTGCCTAAATGAGGCTTGCTTTCTTTTTTTAATTGTGTTTCCTTTTTAAAATGACCTAATCGGTGATTATCACTGTGGATATCTGAGAAGAATGGACAAAAATGAAGGTGAGAATGGTAAACGGCTTCCACAGGGGGAGAAAAAGGCCCCAGAGAGCGAAAATCATCAAAAACAAAGACTGGAGATATGGTTTAAAGAACTTCATCATTATTAATTTAGGAAGCTTAAAGAGGGCTGGCGACAAGGAAAGGGCGGTAAAAAAAAATCCTAATGATAAGCCTGCCAAGCATGTTGAAGGTTATCCAGGCCTCTGGGAGCCAGAATGATTGCAGCCCTTTACTTCCTTTGTTCTTCCACCGGGGCCGGTGGGCACTCCTTCTGTAGGAGGCAAGGATGGGGGATAGGAGGATATGGGTGAGCAGCACGACCCTGCAGGGCCCTGACCTGTCCCTGTGGGTTGTTGGCAGGGTTCTGAGAAGGCTCAGCAGTGCTAGGAAGTCTAATGGGGCTTCCTAATCAAATATGGAGACTGCTTCACAGCGAGCCTGGCAGTGGCATTGACCCATGAGAATGGAAGCCACCTATCATGCTAAGTCAGGGCACTGGCAGGCTCCTCTTGTGCCAGCCCTTGCCCAGTTAGTAGAGTTGCTGAGTTGGGATCATCTGGGGGTTTTAGAGAAGGGTAGGGACAGCTTGGGGAAGAAAGGTAGGTGGGAGAAGGACTTGGGGAGTGTATTTTGGTCAACCAGTAGGCAGTATTTCAATATCTTAACAGCTAGTCCAGTTGTCCCAATGTACAGCAGCTGGATTTCTGCCTTGGTAACTTCACCCCTGTAATTTGCACTGCTGTAGGGATCGAACCACAAAATAGAAATGGATCTCCTTGGCAAAACCATTCATCGGTTCTACTGGAGAGAGTTAATCAGGCATCATAGCTCACAGTTCTCCATAATGCATATTTCAGGGAACACCAAGGCTAGTCACCCTTGACTGCTGCGGTTTTTAAAAATGTGTATTTCCTTAGGGTGCTGCGTCCTTTTCTCCATGGAGCCCTCTTTGGTCCCTTTCCCTCTCGGGGCTCATGCTCTCCAGTCCTCATGCCGATCCTGTGTATTTTAATCAAAGGCAAGGAGTAGGTAGCTCGTGGGTTGTCATGAGGATGATAGGATGTGAAATGACCACTGTATTGTTTTCATCTCTCCAAGACAGCAGCCTGGTGTTGGGCATTGCCAGCTCATTAGAGGATGTCACTGAGAAATGCAAAATAGCCAACTCCACATTATCAACTCCTTCCAATTCCCTCAGCACAGAACATCAGAGCTGGAGCATGCTAATCTGATTTCATCACTTGGGCAGTGGAGGTTTTTATTGAGCTCACTCAGAGGTGGCTGCAGGGCTTAAAAAAAAAAAAAAAAAAAAATCCAGGCCTTTTTGGGTGGGCAGAGGAAGGATGTGTTTGCAGACAGCAGGTGTGTTTCCACCTATATATTACATCTAATATATAACCTGCCTTGTTCCAAGAATGGTTTAATGCTGTTCTCAAACTGACATGCTTCTGCTTAAACCCAAGATAGGTAACTCCTATATATTAAAGTTTTTAAGAGAGGAGAAATTTAGGGCTAACAATTCCCTACATAAAAGAATTCTTGACTTTAAACAAATAACCTATCTTTTGACTCTTCAATGTAAGTTAAATTTCCTGAATTTATAATAAAGGAAGAGACCCTTTTACTGGCACAGAGTGGGTTCAGAATTGCCCCACAGTTTCTCACCTTCTCCCCCAAAATATGCTGATTGCAGAGGACCCTGACTCTGCATCCCAGGAGTCAAGCAGCAAGTTCAGTGGGACCTGGAATTTCTTCAAAGTCACATCTTTTAACGTTCAAATGGTAAATCTTGCATGCTATTCCATCATCGATCTGTTTTTAATGTAAAATGATGTCTTTGATTTTTTAATATCAAAGGGGATCCCTTCTTCACCTCCCTACATTTTAGGTAAAGTTGATCCATCCCTTCCTTCCTTCCTTCCTTCCTTCTTTCTTTTTGAGACGGAATCTCACTCTGTTGCGAGGCTAGCCCAGGTTCAAGCGATTCCCCTGCCTCAGCCTCCCAAGTAGCTGGGACTGCAGGTGCCCACCACCATGCCCAGCTAATTTTTGTATTTTTAGTAGAGACAGGGTTTCACCATGTTAGCCAGGATGGTCTCGATCTCTCGACCTCGTGATCTGCCTGCATTGGCCTCCCAAAGTGCTGGAATTACAGGCGTGAGCCACCGCGCCCGGCCAACACTTCTTATGGAACTTTTAGTGCACCCTTTTTTTCATAGTCTCTGCCCATAGGTACTGGTTTCCTTCAGGAAACACCAGCTCACACTCATTTGTGCTGCCAATTCAGCGAAGAAGAAGGGGCCTGAAAGAGTCCTGGCCTCAGAGGGACCAGAGGCCTGAGGGCCTCAGAACTCCAGTTCCATGTTGTCTTGGTCTCCAAGATCCTGTCTGTTTTATCATTGTCTCCTCACTATTGGGCTTTGGAAACAGTCTGTTCAATTCCCAGCCCTACTGATGGAGAGAAAGAATCTGGAGACAGGAGTGGATATATATTGCCAGCTTTCAAAATTTTCCATTTGCTTTGAGTTTGAGTTGGGGTAAAACCACTCTCTTGAGTCCCAGTTTTTCTGTGTGTAAAATATAGCTCAGAAAATTCCATCCTTAGAGTGAAATCTAATATTATGAGGGCTATGTGTGTCTTAAAATGTATGAGTCCCCCTAAAGCCCCAGTGATGATCACTAAATACCACTTAAAGTAACCAAAGGTCCTTGAAGAAGTGGTAGATTCCAGTCTAGGACAGCAAATATGTAAGATGTGCCTAGAGAATCTTATAATCCCAAAATGCAAGCAGGCTTTTAAAGCACAATAGGCTGTGCCAAAAAGACTCAGGAACCAATTTGAAGAAGCTCATACTATCTAAAGACAGGACAATTTAGGCGTCAGTAAGATAATTACTGCAAATGATTACAACACATCCAATTCCTTTATACCTATGAGTTCATAAATGATTCTTAAAAAAACAAAGAATCTCATTGGTCACCTTTGGAGGAGTCTAGAAAACTGCCTCATTATTTTGATAACTGATAAATGAAAGAATTGAGCACTTACTTACATTTACCATATGAATTCCACCTCAGGAAAACCAAGTAATTGATTAGGAAGTTTTTCTTTATATAAGTGTGCCAGCTAACAAATAAAAAGTAAATGACAGAAATAGAATATAACATTTTGCAACCCCAAATGAGTAAATGGATCCAGCCCTGGGGTTCTCAGCTTAGCACGGGTCACATTTTGGGTAAGATCATCCTTTTGTGGTGGGGGCTGTTCTGTGCTTTGCAGGACATTCAGCAGCATCCCTGGCCTCTACCCACTGGATTCCGGTAGCATCCAGCATCGCCAGACATTGCCACATGTTCCCTGGGACTGTAAAATCACCTTTGGTTGAGACACTGCCATAGGTGATCATCACCAATGGCGGCTAATCACAAAACGAGGGACAACCAGACTTTATGTCACTCCTGATGGGAGTATATACGACCACCTTTGAAGTTTTTGCCAAAAAAACACAACCAAAAAACCCTAAAAAAAAAAAAAAAACTGATCTGAACTAAGCCTCTATATCTAATTTCATTTTACAGGACAAGAAATATGAGGCACACACGTGTGTGCACACACATGCACACACACAAGGCAACCAGCACTGCAGGAATGCAATCAGCAAAATCCAGACTGTGTCAAATGCTAAGGGCAAATGACATGGTTTATTGAACAAAAATTGCAAGGAAGAAGCAATGATGGGGGCAAGCTATAAATTAAAAGAGTCTTATAATAAGGGGCATAACAACAAATTGCACGGTGTGGCACCTCAATAGGATCCCAATTTAAACAAATTGTTAAAAAATTCTAAGATTCATGAGGAAAGGTAAACTTTGACAGGATATTTGGTGATATTGAGGAATTATTTTTTAAAGATGTTAGTATGGTATTGTGGCTATGTGTTTAAAAAGTCCTCATTCCTTTAGAGACATAGCTGGATAATTATAGATGAAATGATGCGATACCTGGGATTTGCTTTAACATGATCCAGAAAGGTGGTGCACAGATGCACTAAGATTGGTCATGTATTGATAATTAATGAAGGTGGGTGATGGGTCTATCAGGTTCATTGTGCTATTATCGACTTAAACAATGTTGTATTTTTTTTCTTTCTAATTTGGTCTGGAGGTCTCTCTCTGGAGAGTAGTTATTTGGTTGTAGATGTTTACAATGTGCCTTTCACAAGGTACTTCTTTATCCTGGTGGACGGCCTCATGCCTGAGTGTCTCCACCTGTGACCAGGTGTCCCTCTCACAGGAAACTCACTTATACTTGTGCTCTCGTCTGACCTGTGTCTAGCTTATTCCTACTAAGATAGCCACGCTCTAGGAGAGCCCTGAATGGGAAAGAAGTTAGTTAGGTTTGAGTGTGTCAGTCAGGTAAGACCCAGAGGAGGCAAAAGAAAATGCATGAAATAACTGAAGCAGTGTATTATTTACAGATCCTGGAGAGAACAAGACAGCAACCTCAGGGCGAATGGGAAGAGGAGAGCTGTCTGGGACATATGTGCTCGACCAGTGGGTTGGAGACTGGGGAAGGGACTTGTGGGCCAGAGCCTTTGTTGGGATCCAGGGAATTACCCAGATGGGTTTCCCTTGAGGAGTTGTCATTGGTGGATTTAGAGCAAGCAGGCAGGAGTCCCACCAGCTAACGTTATGACTGAGAAGTGGTCGTTGAGTCATATCTGCATAGTCCGCCTGGGGTGCGGGGTCAGGGTGAGTCAAGTGGGCTGTGTCTATATGTCCCATAGGAAGTTGGCTGCCAGGAGGCAGTTGTGTAAGGCAGATACGTGGATTCATCACATTGAGGAACTGGGAGGAGGCAGAGAACTGGAAACTGTTTCACATGCTTCTGGTATGAGAAAGTCCAACTTATATTTAAAATGGATGATGAAACATAATATCTATATATATTTTTCTGAGATGGAGTTTCACTCTTGTTGCCCAGGCTGGAGTGCAATGGCACGATCTCTGCTCACTGCAACCTCCGCCTCCCAGGTTCAAGCGATTTTCCTGCCTCAGCCTCCCGAGTAGCTGGGATTACAGGCATGCGCCACCACACCCGGATAATTTTGTATTTTTTTCTTTTTTAGTAGAGACAGGGTTTCTCCATATTGGGCAGGCTGGTCTTGAACTCCCGACCTCAGGTGATCTGCCCGCCTTGGCCTCCCAAAGCGCTGGGATTACAGGCCACCGCACCCGGCCCCATAAATTTGTAAGACCTTGCTACACTTGTGTTTGACTATTTTCATAATGAAAAGTTAGAAATAAGAATGCACTCTCAGAGAAAGTCCCAACATTAAGAGAAGGTTGTGTTTAGTCCATCCCCTCGGCTTTGCCCCATGGGGACCCACCTGAACACACGCTAGCCAATGTGGGTTCTGTTTTCTGCCCTGGAGCCTGTCTGTAACAGGAAGCTCAGGAGTGAGTAGAGATGAATAGAAGGGTCAGGCCCTGTCCTCATGTTAATTAGCTATTCATCGTAAGGAATGGATTAACTGATTCATGATTTTCATAAATTTATTGGCCCTCCAGTTAATGAAGATCCTAATGCAGTATCTTTTGGCATACATCATTCCTTTGCGGGACTGGCTTGTCCCTTTCGGCAGACTGCCGAGCTTGGCTATGCAGAGAATGACAGCTGCTCACATTTTGGGCTTGAGGGAACTGGTGTGTCCTGTACAGAAGGTGGAAGGAGGCGGGAAACCTGGAGAAACAGGCTGGAAAGGGTAAAAATGTCCCAGTGAATTAATAATGCATGTGCACTTCCAGCACGCAGGCTGGCACTGAGAGGCTTGCTGTTTTCTGTCGACATCTGCACATCAGGATAATGGTTTTGAAGGGTTAACCTAGGGCTACTCTGTCTCTCCTTCCAGCTCCATCATTCTCCTTTTGCCAGCCCCTCCCTCCCCCAAAGCAGCCAGGCCATCTAATGCTTGTTGCCTCAGGGGACGGATGTGGTAGGAGGGAAAGCAAATAGCCTGGGTGCCTTTTGCTGACTTACACGTGTTTCAAAGGACTGCGCCCTTAGGGAGAAATGTCAGAGGATGAGATTGGCTCCCTACACCCGTCCTCATCCTCAAATCTAGATGAGGTTTCCCTGGGGTTAAGAAAGAAGGAAAGACAGTGGGTAAAGCATGATCTTATGGAGAGAGTAGCCTGCATTCTACTTCCTGGAGCTGGCTGCAGAGTCAGACCAGGATGGGGGCGGGGGGCCTCAGCAGACATTGCAGAAACTCCCAAGCCCCAGTGTGGCACAGGCCAGGCCAGGACGATTCCCCCCGCCCTCCACTCATCTGTGCTTAGACTGGTCAGGAGAGCCAGTGGGCCAGGAAGGCAGACAGAGGCAAAGGATGTCTCAGGGGACCTGTGGGCCAAAGGCTGCCTCAGCAGCCACCTGCACAGGCAGGTGGCAGCAAGAACCAGGTGACAGCCCCTTTGACATTGCACTAGGCTGCACTAGGCCCCCCAAGGCCGAGATGCATAGCCATTACATCAAAAACATCCCAGTGGAAGAGAGCAACAGTAGGTAGTTGTACATGATCTCATATACGTACTATCACTCAAGACAAAAACAAAACAAAAAACCACCGAAACCTCAAACCAAAATATACCAAAATATACAAACAGAAAAACCACTCTCTTCCTAAGTAAAAAAACAGACATTCTTTAGCATCCAAATGAACTCAGAAAATTAGAGAAATACAGAATAACACAAAGAAGAAAATGAAATCTACCTATCAGTTTATCAAATATATATCATTTTAATATTTTTATGCCTGTATTGTATAGATGAAAAAAATTGAACTCATACTGTATATGCCTTTTGTATCTTGTTTTATTCACTTAAACAGTGAACATTTTCCTCTTCTATTAAATACGCTTCTCTAAAACACTTTTAAAATTTAGCCAATACCTTGTATTGGTGTTTTAGGTTGTCCCAAGTTTTGTTATGTACATTATGTTTTTATGACAAATAACCCTTGGACATAAATGATTTTGCACATCTCTGTGTTTTTAAGCCATTAAATATAGTCATGTACCATGTAATGATGTGGCAGTTAATGATGGACTGCATATATGATGGTGGTACCATAAAATTATAATACAATATTTTTACTGTACCTTTTCTATGTTTATTTTTTTAATTTATTATTATTATTTTTTGAGACAGAGTCTTGCTCTGTTGCCCAGGCTGGAGTCCAGTGGCGTGATCTCTGCTCACTGCAACCTCCAGCTCCTGGGTTCAAGCAATTCTCATGCCTCAGCCTCCCGAGTAACTGAGATTTTACAATCATGTGCTACCATGCCCAGCTAATTTTTGTGTTTTTAGTAGAGACCGGGTTTTGCCATGTTGGTCAGGCTGGTCTCAAACTCCTGGCCTCAGGTGATCCGCCTGCCTCAGCCTCCCAAAGTGCTGGGATTACAGGTGTGAGCCACTGCACCTAGCCCTTTTCTATGTTTAGGTATATTTAGGTACACAAATCCTTACCATTGTGTTATAGTTGCCTACAGTATTGAGTACAGTACCATGCTGTGTAGGTTTGTAGCCTAGGATCAATAGACTACACCTTCTAGCCTAGTAGGCTACACCATCTAGGTTTGTGTAAGCTACTCTGTTGATGTTCGCACAACAATAAAATTGTCTAATAGTGCATTTCTCAGAATGTAGTCCTGTTAAGTGACCTGTGACTATATTTTTGAAAGAGTTGTTTATCCTTGTTATCTTCTGGTTGTTTTCCATTTACACTTCTCATTATCTCCTCAATACACAAACGCTGGTCCCCATCACTCTATAGTAATGGATTAGGAAGAGGATAGCATTGACCTCCAGGGTGCAAAGCCAGTGGTCTCTTCTTTGTATTAACTAATGCCCTGGCACTCTCCCTGAAACCCCTGCTCTTTTGACCTCAGGGATGCTATGATCACTTAATTTTCCTCATTCTCCCATGATTCCTCTTTTGCAGCCTCATTTGCTTGCTTATCTTTTTCACGTTCTCTTTAAACTGGCACAACCCAACATGCTCCCATCACCCCTCCTATTCTTCATCCTCTTCCCCCAAAAGGGTCCCCTATGCCTAATGTGCAGAAGACTGTCAGGCACTCCATGCGCTTCCAACAGCTCAAGGACTTACCCATTGCTTATTCTAGAGGCAACTCTGACCCAGGGTAACCCTGCACAAACCAGAGACTCATGCGGTCTAGTTTCAAAGGGAATGCTGAATTTAGGGAAACTGTCTAGCCTCCAAAGGAATTTAAAAATAACCCAAATCCTTTATTCCCATTTTCAAAGATCATCAAAAATGGAATCCAAATACAGAGTTCACAGCAAATGATTCTTCTCCTACTTTGTTCTCCATCCCAGCTTCCCCTGCCAATTATTCAGAGTCTCTTAACTCTTCAAATCCTAGAAAACGCTCTCATCCCTCTCCATCATTCCTTACTCTCATGACTTTCTTCTCCTGATTGCAGGGCTGTCACCATCTTGCACTGCCAGCTGTCCTCTCTGAAGGTTGAACTCCTAACAGAAGTTTCCTCATGTTTGTGGTAGCAGCACCTTGAGAAGTAGAGAAGACAAGAAGAAAAAAGGAGTCAGCACAGATGACAAGCTCTGCTTTTTAGTGTACATGGTCTTCCCCAGTATGCACATTCTTTTCCTATTCTTGACTTATCTCCCTTAACGATAAAATGGCCAAGTTAGAAACCCTAGACACTCTTATTCTCTTTTCTTTCTTTCTTTCTTTTCTTTCTTAAGAGACAGGGTCTCATTCTGTCACCCAGGCTGGAGTACAGTGGCACAACTGTAGGTAGCTCACTGCAGCCTGAAATTCCTAGGCTCAAGTGATTCTCCTGCCTCAGCGACTTCGGAGTGGCTGAGATTCCAAGCTTAAACCATTGTGTCCTGCACTTCTCACTTTCATGGCTGTTATCCTGGGGGTCATCAACTTTTCTAGATCTGATTACAGAAATGTCTCTTCTTTTTTCTTTATTGCTGCTGTTAAAGCTTTGATCCAGATCTTTCTCAAGTCTTAGTTATTTTAGAGTCTGTTAGCTGATTTTCCTGACATGCATCTCTCTCGGTCCTCTAATCTTCCATGTACACTGCTGCTGCTGCTGCTGTGAAGCAGATCTGGTCACCTCAGTCTCTTGGTTGACAATCTTGCATTGCTCCCCATTGCGTGCATATGGCTGAAAGTCCTTTCTTTGGCATCGACAGTCCTTCATATTGTCTTTCCTTCAGGATGTCCCTCTCATTACTCTTCTCCATGGTGCCGCAGCTCTCTCACATTGTCTGTTCACTGCTCCCCAATCCTCCCTTCACTTTCACTCTTTGACTTTCTGTTCATGATGTTTGTACTTCGTGGAACACCCTCCTGCCCTCTCTAGCTGGGTGACTCCTTCACGTTCTTCAAGGCCCAGCCTTGCTGCTTCCTCTTTCATGAAACCACCTCAGTGCTATTTTCCAGCTCAGGGGCTTTCCACTTTGTGCTCACAGGAATTTGTTTGTGCCTTTATGATGTCACTTATCACACTCTGTTTATCTTTCCTACTACATTGTAAGCTCAAAAGCAGGAGCATTATTCGTTTTGGAAAAATCTCCAGTACCCAATCTGTAGAAGTTGCTACATAAATGATGCCTTATTCACACGCAAACAAATTAGTGTTTATTCACCTTCAGCGTGCCTCTTCATCATATTATTGTGTGAAGCCTGAAAGAACCTCTGATTCTTGCTTGAAGGTGGAAGAATTTCACTCTAAACAGCAGCTAGGCTATCTGAATGAGGCAGCAGAGGAAATTTATTGGTGTAGAAAGAATGCAGTGGGGTCAGTGCTGCTGTGCAGCAGATCTTTAGCCAGCTGTAAACAAGCCTGCTATGTGTGAAAATAGAGACTTACAAAGCAGGTGTATTAGAGTACCGTTTTTCATCTTGTCAAAGGAATCATCTTTGCATTTGCTCCTCTTCTCTATTCTGTATCATAATCTGTAACACACAAGGGAATAGCCATTAGAAAATTCTGTCGATTTTCTCTCCTAAATCTCTAATTTGATGACTTTCCTCTATTTCTCCTGCCTATGCTCTCGCTGTTTTCTTTCCTCTTCTAGATTATTGCAACCTGTCTGACTAGCTTCAGGCTTCAGCTTCAATAGCACTTCCTTTCAAACCTTTTCTACCCTCCAAGACTGGGTTAGGTGACTTGCCTGCATGCTCCTATACCATAACTGCCTTTAAAAATTTTTCCTTATCTCTTATCAGACTCCAAGTTTCTTAGCATCCTGAGCTCATTCATCTTTTTACTTCCGTTGCCTGCACATAACAACTGCTCAGTAAATATTTATTGCATGAAGGAATTACAAAAGTATATATCCAAATATTTTGAACTCTTTTGTTTTTGCATGATATCTACTAATTGGAGCAAGACACATTTATATTTTGATGTGGAAAACCAGGCTGCTTAATGAAATGAATTTCACTGGCTTAGCAAGTAGGCGTTTTGTTTCCGCCTTTGTCTTTGACTTTTCAATACCAATTAAGATTTGCATAATGTAAACATGTATTGAGAGTTATGTCTTGGGGTGGGGCTAGGCACTTGCACATCCATTCTCTTTCTTCCCCATAGTTTTTCATCAGTTAATTGCAGATAGTAATTATATCTGTTAGCAAATAGTGCTGTAAAGAGTGACTTTTCATCTTGAAAGAATGTATGTGCTTCCCTAATCACCTGAGTTATTACTAGAATGTTATTTGTCCCCTAGGAGGACTAAGCCAGGTATTGCAGATGGTTTCCCAGTCCCTTAATGGAAACACATCTATCCACCCATCCATTCACAGCCTCAACATTCTCAGAAGAAATCCTCAAGTTTCACATTTTTAAAGAAATGAGGACAAGTGTTATATTTTTAAATACCTTTACAAGTCATTCTCAAAAGCGTTATCTCTTCCTTTCTACCTATGTGAGTGACTTCCAGCAATTTGATTTTGCTTTTAAATTGAACAGGAGGAATTTGTATGAATTCTGAGGGGGATATGAAGTAGCTTTTCAAAATTAAAAGTGAAAAAAAAAAAGACTCCATGAAAAATAGGACCAGAGACAAAACAGAATGTTTTAAGTGAGATTTGTATGCAGGAAAGTGAAAATCAAGTATTGATTCTCCTCTCATTTAGCTGCAGATGAAATCTCCTGGATTCTTGTACCCTCCAGAAAAGAGGGATGGGTTAAGATTCATGCCAGCAAGCCATTCCAGTTCTCCTTGCCTGGCAGCAGCATCCAAGCTAGGATTCCTGGAAGAGAAGTTTGCAGCCCCAGGAAACCAAGGCATTGACCTGGGCTGTCAGTGGCAGCTTAGGCGAGCTACGGAGAAATTACAGATGGAAAGAGGAAATGCTTGTCCTTCTTCCTTTGTCAAACCATGTAAAACAAACTGGAACAAGATGCTGTTCTGTTCTGTTCTGTTCTGAAGATGTGAGTGAGAAGCACTTGTGACAGAAGACATGAATTGAGTGAGATCTTAAAAGATTGCTCACAGGGCAGCGGAAGAGGAGAAGGGAGCTGGAGTCCAATCCTCAAAAGGAAGGAGGGATGAACCTGCATCTGTGATGAGAGAGGCTTGGAATGAGGCCACCAGGCACGTGAAGGGGAAGTTACAGGACTGCCTCTGAGTCGTTTGGCCTCAGGGGATCTTGGCAGCCCAAACATCATTCTCTGTGGTGAGAGATACTAGAAGACCACAAAGCAATGGGAACAGCGGGGCCATGTCAAGTACACCTCCTCCTTTTTGATAAGGTTATTTACTTGAGACCAGAGCTTATAGAGTGTGGACCCTAGAGAGTCTGGGGAGGGTTAAGCTCTGTGTGTTGAGGAGAAGAGAATACATTTTTGTGAGTGTCGGTGCGACGGGTGGAATTGTGTTTCTCCTCAATCCATATGTTGAAGTCCTAACCTCCAGAACCTCAGAATGTGACCTTATTTGGAGATAGGCTCTTTACAAAGGCAATTAAGTTAAAGTGAGATCATGAAGCTGGTCCCTAATCCAATATAACTAGTGCCCTTATTAGAAAAAAAAAAAAAAGCAAGTTTGGACAGAGAGAAACACACATAGACAGAACACAATGCGAATATGAAGATGGCCGCCTGCAAGCCGCAAAGAGAGGCCTGGAATACATTTTTCCCTCACAGCCCTCAGAGGGAAGCCACCGTGCCTAAACCTTGATCTTGGACTTCCAGCCTTCAGAACTGTGAGACAATACATTTCTGTTGTTTAAGCCATCACATCTATTGTACTTTGTTACAGCAGCCCTGGCAATTGAAGGTAGTTGGTGCTGGCAGCCTCTTCCTTCCATCAGAGGACACAGAAGAGAAGACAAGGATCTAGAGACTCTGTAAAGCAAAGATGGGTTTCTTCTGGTGCTGTACCTGGAAACCGCAACAGTATTTATAGAAGTGACACACTGGCTCAGACCTCAGCTGATCCAGTGATTTCTCTCATCTTAGCAAGCAATGTTCATTGGCCTACAGTAATCGTGCATTTGCTGCATGATCAGTTGTCAACTGGCCAGATAACCTACTAGGCACATGATTCTGTGCCCATCTGCAGGAAAACACCAGAGAGCTGGGCTGAGATGCAGTGAGTGAGAGCTGGGCTGAAAGTGTTCCTTGAGGTTTGCCTGAGTTTCTCTGAGCCTGCTCTCCTCAGTCCAACCACAGTCACTTCTGATTGTGAGGGTTGGAAAAATCCAAAGCTTGGGCTGAAAAGGTTGCCTAAGATGTGTTCTGTCTTTACTGAGCTGAGCAGAGCCTCTTCATTGGATTTCTATCCATTTGAAGAGAGCAAACCGTTAGAAGAGCTCAAATATTGATATTTCCTCTATCTCTAAGTGATTCCTTGAAAGTATCATTTTTCTTCCTTTCCTTTCCATTTCCTCCTAAAAGCATGTAAAAAATATGAATGCTAATTCGAATACAATTATCCTTATGATGGATCAGTTTACTGGATGTGCCAAATAGATGCTTATCATCAGAATGATCTGGCATCAGCATAATCAACTATTTGTAGGAAAAACATGAGAGAGAGGAAGACAGGTGAGCCAACACACCAGTTAGAATGTACACGTACACTGAATTTGGACACGCTCCATACTCTTCTTCACTCAGGTATCCATCAGAGTGCTCACCTTGTCAGTGGCTGTTGCTGTAAGTATGTGTCTTACATCCAGCGTCTTCTCTAGGTTTCAGATGCAATGAGGTGTTTCCAGGCTCTGCTACTCAGTTAAGTCCCACAATGCTGATAGGGCTATTGGAACAGTCAATCAAAGTAAAAGAAAAGAGAAAAAGTGATGGGAATCAGAAGCAAAGAGACATGCCCAAAGGCAAAGAGCTCTGTAGAGGTGGTGGATTTGGACTTGTGGCACGTTATTCAAATATCTTCTTCCCACGGGCCCCCCAAATTATTTGTACAAAAGACCTTTCGACCCATCAAGGAGAGGTCCCTGCAAGCTTTGCTCTTCTGAAAGACAGTGCAGCATGGTGCTTCACAGCATGAGCTTTGGAGTTAAGCCAACTTCAGTTGTAATCCTGGATCCACCATTTACTAGGTTTGTAAGTTATTTTTAACATCTTGGGTCTCAGTATTCTTAAGCTTAAACCTTAACCTTAACCTTCAAATGGTCGCAAACCCATCATCAATAAAATAGAAAAAATAAATTGTGGTGTGTTTCTATAATGGAATATTCTACAACTGTAAGGATTAATAATCTATAACTATACACAATCCACAGTACAACAGCACAATACAACTACTCACAAGAATATGGATGAATCTACAAGCATAATGTTGAGTGAAGGAAGCTGGATATGAAAGGGGAAGTTGTAAAATGGCATTTATTTAAAGTTGAAAGTTTGGGGAAACGACTTTATGTGATTAGACGTTGGGATAGTGCTTGCCCCTGAGGGGTGCGGCTGGATGGAGGCATGAGAGGCCTGGAGGTAGGTATTCTGTGTCTTGTTCTGGGTGATGGTTACTCGGGCCAGTTCAGAGTGTGAAATTCATTGAGTTTCATACTTAAAATATGTGTAACTTTCTGTATGTGTGGTATACTTTAATAAGATTTTTTAAAAAGTAGATCATTTTGGTGCCCAACTCATAGAGATGTGAGGATTAAATGAAATAATGAATGTATAATAAAACACCTAGTGATAGAAAATGCTTAATATATGTTAGGCACTTCTTCTTATTATTCTCATTACCCTGATGCAGGAATTGGTGACAAATATCATTTGTTTGCCAGCGACCTGTCTCATCTGAGTAAGCCTGTGACACTCTGGGGTTTTAAAATAGGACGGTAAGAGGCCACTTCCTTGTGAGAAGCAAACCCCTTTCATCCATTGGGTCTCATTCAGAGGCATATATTCTATGGGGAAAAGAATAAGGAAAACATTCAGCTCTGAGTACTCTGATTTGAGAAAAGATAGCTCTCTAAGTATTTTCTTCAGTTTGATTAAAAACAAAACAAAAACCCATCCTGTGTCTTCCTGAATGTGCAAAAATAACTTGGCAGAAAAAAGTAGGCTAGTTTCTGCTGTTCTTAAACTGGTTTACACTTCCTCTAGTTTCCTCCGTAGATGAAAATAGCAGTTTAATCTCTTGACAGATAAACGCCTTTCAAAGTACTAGCTCCATTTGGAGCTGTTGCTCTTCATTGTTGATTTTCTATAATACAGATGTTTTTGGCATAATGTATTATATTCTCCAGAATGTCCTCTGTCAGCTCCGTAAAGAAGACAAACAGCAGCCTAATCTTGAAAACAGGGCCTCTCTATGAACTAGCTGACATAAGCTCATTTGAGCTTCACCCCGCATAAGAATTTTAATAAACAAACCTCGCTGGTCAGCATATTGCTCTAGCATATTTAAACATACCACATGCTTTCAGCTCCTCTTCACAGTTCTGCAGCTTTTGCATGAAACGAGTTCTGGTTAACAGAATTTAATGAGTCTGAGCGGGGGGAAAAGTCTCTCCACATGCAATGATAAAGCCACGGTGGGACAGCGTTAAAACAGCAGGGCTGCAGCGGGAACCAAGGTTTGAGATTCGAGTCTCAGTGCTCGGAACTGCTGTTTCTCAACTGCGTTGGCATAAAGAACCCTGAGGAATCCAGTGTGAACTGTATTCCTGACCCACGGGACCTGCTCCATGTGTGTCTCTACCTAGTTCTCCTTTTCTCCTTTCTTTTACGTTTTGTGTTGGAACCTTATCTGTTTTTCTGGCTTTTCATTCATCTACCTAGTCTGTTCTTCCGGCTCTTGAGTCAGACTGCCTGATTTCCAATCCTGGCTCAGTCTCTAAAGACCTCTGTGACTTTGTACATGTTATTTAACCTTCTTAGCCTTGGCTCTCCCATCTGTAATATGAGGATGACAGTAGACCTACCTCTTAGGGCTGTTAGGAGGATTACCTATGGTAATGTGCTTGGCTGGCTTGAAGTAAATACTCAGCGAATAACGGCTGTTACTCAGTTTCTTTCTGATTTCATCTCCATCTCTATGTGCATAGTCACTTACACCACCCCAATTAGGAAAATCTATGATAGGGTTTGGATGTTTGTCCCCTCCAAATTTCATGTTGAAATGTGACTCCTGATGTTGGAGGTGGGGTCTGGTGGGAGGTGTTTGGGTCATGGGGGGCAGATCCCTCATGAATGTCTTGGTGCTGTCCTCCCAAAAACTGGGTGAGCTCTCACTCTGAGTTCAAGAGTAGGGTGTGGGTAGGATCTGGTTGTTTAAAAGAATGTGGCACACCCTACCCCTTGGTCTCTCTTGCTCCTGCTCTTGCCATGTGATGCACCGGCTCTCTCTTCACCTTCTGCTATGACTGGAAGCTTCCTGAGGCCCTCACCAGGAGCACATGCCTGCACCATGCTTCCTGTACAGCCTGCAGAACATGAGCCAATGAAACCTCTTTTATTTATAAAATGCCCAGCCTCAGGTGTATCTTTATAGCGATGCAATAGACTAATACAACCCATGATCCAGAGAGATGTGAGTCAGTTGGAGTCAAGGAATTTTAAAATAGAAATTAAAAGCAGAGTTTAGGAGCTAGTGGTTTCTTTTGTTTGTTTGTTTGTTTTTTCAACTGTGGCAGCACTAGTGACATTTTGGGCCAGATAATTCACGGTGGTGGGGGGCTGCATCCCTAGCTGATGCCTGCTAAACCCCAGGAATAACCCCTGCTATTTGTGACCATCAAAAATGCCTCCAGACATTGCCAGATGTCTCCTTGGGGCAAAAGTGTTGCTGATTAAGAACCACTGGACTAGACCAAAGCGCTAATTGTAGAACTACAGCAGGAAGACATGATGAATGAATTATAAAATTCGGGGGTAGGAGAGTTAGCCCAAGGAAAGTGCCTTCCTGACCTTATCCTGAAGCTTCAGAAATACATAGGAGTGGAAGACTGTGTCAAGATCCGACCCACACCTGTACTGACCATGGCAGGTCACTACCTTAATAGGCAAAGACTTCCTGAAAACTTCCAGCTCGTAGGAATGTGTGAAAGCAGAACAATAGAAGAGGAAGGAATTCCCTTCCTAAAAGGCTATAAAAAAGATCAAATCCCTAATCATACCTCTGCTTTCAGATCCAGTCTATCAAGGAATAGTTACAGCATCTCATAAAAGTTTCTTAGTTTTGTTATTTTCCTTCGCAGCTTTAAATCCACATTAGATTGCTCAACTTTCAGCTTATCTTGATGGTGTTAAGTTCATAAGAATTAAATTTCAGAGCTTTTCCATTTCTCCACTTATTTTTATAAAACCATAGGGGGAAAACGCAATAAAAATTTTCAATTAATTGCAGAAACATTGCTGTTCAGACAAAAATGGCAACATCACCCGAACTCAACTGTTGGCTGACAGCACCATCATGCAATAGCTCCGAATGTTCATTTTCCAGCTGATTTATACAGATTTGAATTTGGCATACAAGAACTGGTTGAGAGGTGTCAATGTACAATGTGTGAATGGATGGAGTATACAGAAATTTTCAGTGTACAAAGGTTGAAAACTACTAGTAATTATGACAAGGTGAGATATGGAGCACTAGGTCACCGTGTGTATTTTATCTTAATTAGAATATAAAGACTTCAAGGGAAAGAAAGGACTTTCAAAAAATTCTTCAGAATCATCCTTAGTATGCATGCAATAAACACCTATTAATTTCTAATTTAATGGATAATGGGTGGAATAAAATTAACAATTTATTTGAAACAAGGATGCAAGGCTTAAAAGTTCCTTAAGTGTTTAGATTCAAAATTATTTTGTGCCTGGTTAAGAAATGTCATATGTATTACATATAAGTGTAGATACATAGCTATCTTTAGAGATATGAAGACAGATAAATAGATATACCTGTCACTCAAACAGAAGGGGCAGGAAGGACATTGGTGTGTGGCACAGAATCTTAGTGCTATAGGGCTTTTTGAGAGACTATAATGAGGGCTTGGGGAGTAATGAGGGACCCAGAGAGGACCTTCTTTTTGTCTCTGATCTTTGTTTTTCTCTGGCATTTCTCCTATTCTTCTCTCTCCAGAGTGATTTTCTGCATCTGTAAAAATGCAGGAGATGGCCTCCTTTAAGCTGCCGAGTTCACTTGTCCTCTAGCACCCAACCAGCCCCATTAGCCTAACTACCTTCATTCCAATTTCCAGGAGAGAAAATGTAATTGGTCCAGCTTGGGTCAAGGTGCACCCCGATCCATTCAATTATAACCAGTCTAGTGGGGAGTGAGGAGGGGGTCAAGTGTTCAAACATGTCTTAGGGCTCAATCCTACGACGGTGGGGTATGATTTTCAGAGAAAGGAGATTAAATTGTTGAGGACAGACAACCCCAAAGATGTATTACTTGTATGTTAATAATGAATTCCAGTGAAAACCTTAAGGACATGTTTAGAGATCTTTTCTGGTTCCATTTTCTTTTCCTTGCTAGACCAGTTTGGTAGGTTTTAAGCATGGTTGTTGACCAATTGATTAATCAGAGGTATGACCCATGAGAAAATAAAAGAAACCTGTGAGAAAGTTTGATAATGGTATGATTTGGCTCTCTGGACCTTAAGGATGTAATTTGTCCTTGAAAACAAGTTAAGGTATATTTGTCTTGCAGAGCTTTTGTAGCAAATCAACACAAACTAGGTGGCTTAAAACAACAGAAATGTATTCTCTCACAGATCTGGAGGGCAGAGATCTGCAATCAAGGTTTTAGCAGGACCTGGCGCTCCCTCAGAGGTTTCCAGGAGAGAATCCTTCCTTGCTTCTTCCAGCTTCTGGAGGCTCCCAATGTTCCTTGGCTCATGGCTGCCCCACTCCCATCTGTGCTTCTGTCCTCACATGGCCTTCTTCTCTCCGTCAGCCTCTCCTCTTTGGGTCTTTGATAAGGACGCTTGTCTTTGGATTTAGGGTTTACCTATATAATTGAGGATGATCTCATGTCCACATTCTTAATTATATTTGCAAAGATCCTTTCTCCAAATAAAGTTAGATTCAGGGTTTGGGGATGTGGACATATCTTTGGGAGGCCTCCATTCAACCTGCTACATAAGGTGAAAATGGACTGACCAGTGGGGCCTTCTTGCAGTTTGTTCTTGCCGTGCCCATATCTCGCTCAGGGCAGGGCAGCTGCACTGGTGTAACTGAAATTTGGAACCCTTTTCCTGGGGCAGGCCTGGATGGTGGAGAGGACACAGTTGGCTCAGCTTAGAGCAGCAGGGACATGTAGGCTGGTCACAGGCCCCAGGCTGGTCCTTTCTGGCTGTACACATCCTCCACATTTTCATCAGTGTGTCTTACGGATATTTTCCCCCCTGTATTTGCTATGTCCTGAATACAAGATTGAGAAGCGTTGGTTAGGAAGCCACTTCATTTTATTCTCCCTCTTCTTTATAGTCTATTTGATCTTTCCTTGAATTCATTTTTGAAATGTCTTCTAGTTGCAATTGTTAGTTGTTGACTGAATAAGACACCCTTAAATTTTCCTTCCAGTGGTTTCTTTTAGTCTGCTATAGAGAAGAGCTATAGTGCCAATGGGTGGGAGTTCTCAGGAAGGAAAGTCTGGTTTGATGTCATAAAGAAGATTTTAATCACTAGGGCTGGCCAACGATGAAGCAGGCTGCCACATAAAGCCCTGAGCACTCCATTGCAAGTGGGAAAATAGATGCGGCAGATCATCCACCAGGGGTATTGTCGAAGGAGTAGTCCATCAGTGGAGGGGGTGGACATGCAACCTCTAAGGGGCTCTAATTGGTATTCTTCTGAACAATCATCTGATACGGGTATGGATACAGAATGTGATCGGTTCAGACTGCGAGGTGGGAAAGATTTGGCTTTTACTTTCCAGGAATTTTAAACAGGAGGTTTGGATTATATTGGCTTTTCCTGCACATAAAGACTGCTAAATTTAAACAGTTTGCCATTTAAGAGCTGGGCGATAGGAGATGACTTTAGAAGCTATGGAAACTAAAAAGAGCTCACTCTAATCAGGAACAAAAGGGAAGAAACTTTTCACAGACGTTTAGAATGTCTGGACCAAGAGATCCGGCTCCTTCAGTCAACAGCTTAGAGTGCTTATATTTTAATCCTTATTTCTATTTTATTTCTCTGTCTTATAAATTTAAGGAACATCTTACTAGGTTTTTCTCTGACAATACTTTGAATGTTCTCCTGTAATATCGATTATCACATTATATTCTAATTTATTCAGTATTCTACGTTCCCCATCTCTAATCCTTAGCACAATGCCTGGCACATAGTAGGCCCTCATGAAATGTTTGTTATTAAAACGTTGTGAAAAAATCAATCCTGGAAGAACAAAGGGGACTGTATATGCTTAACAGTGCATCATAACACTGACTTCTTAAATGAGATCTGTAGACAGAATTTACCCGTGCATTTCTCTCTATTTTTTGAAGGATAGAGTTTCTTGATTTTTCTAATAGACTGAATTAGGAAGCATAAATGAATCAGAAGCTTTTGTTGTGTGTGTGGTAGACTCACTTCTATAATGTAATGCCATGTCTCACTGGAGTCACCCTGAACTTCAAGGACTAGATAGGGTCAGCACAAATTGCCCTCTTTTGGCTAAAGTGTAGGCTGAGAGAACCTAGCAGTTGGCTAGGTCAACTCCTCACTCCCTTCATAATATTTTTCGGCAGTAAAATCAGGTAGATGGAGGTATTATCCTTTATAGTACTGGGGATGGTATAACAATTATTATTATTGTTCTTATTTGTCAAAATGTTATACTCAGAACTTAACAGAAGTCATTTTGAAGAGCGGAGATTAGAATTGGCAACATGGTATTTTTCAACTGCCATGCATCTCATGCAGAAAAAGTTCTTTACTGGGCAGAGTCACCAAAGCCTGGCTTTCTAGACAATTTTGTAGCTGTGCTTTGAACTTTCTTTGATGGGTTCTTGCTAACTATTTTGAAACTCTCTTCCAGGATGCAATCCTTTTTTGAAAGATAATAGCAGGACACAAGATAAAGGCTCGTTTCAGATGGTTCATCTAAATCTTATTCAGTGACTCTCAACTATGAAAATAATCATAAGAAAATTCATTTTACTACAAGATACCATGTATGTTTTTAAAAAGTAGAGTGTAGGACTCACTGTAGTAAACAACATTGAGTTCTATTTTTGAATCTCACTATTCCAGCCAATTTGCACATTGTCTTCTTACCCAGCTCCCTGATGCCTGTAGGCACCAGCTTTCAAGGCCGAACATTATCCACAGTTTGCCCCCTAGATTATGGAAGACTTTAGCCTCAGAAAGGAATCTCTGTTGTGAGATAGGAATCATAGAATCACTGCACAAAGCATTGTTTGCTTTCTCTCCACCCAGTATCCTTATCATCCTGAATAGCGTCCTGCACAACCCCACCCTCCTCGCTACATAGAACATTTGGGAAAGGATGCTAGGATGACTGGTCTTGAAGTGAAGTGCTGGCCTTGTTTCCCTGTCTTTAAACCAACCCATCTCCTATCTGGAGTACTAAACATGCAAGGTTTCACACAGGTCTCAGATACAGCCCCGCATGAGTAAAGTATTAAAATGCTTAAACAACTCAAGAGTGAAGGAGTGAGGCTGCTTCTTGGCGTCCATCCAAGTGGTCGTCGATTTGTGCGCAAATCCATGGAGGCCTTTTCAGGGAGCCATCACTTCTGTCCATGTGTGAGCTGTTTCTGACTCTGAGATGCTCTCTGCTCAGACCTCAGAAGCATTATACTCCCAGTGTAGTGTTTTTGTCAAATGTCTACTCTTATTCCTAATATTCAGACAGACATATGTTGCCTACAGAGACTTCTCCAGGGAATAAATCTCCCTTGTCCCCCTTCCCACCCCCATTTCCCCACCAGTATTCATTTTTCTGATTAAGCAGATTCAGTGACATATGAACAAAAAGGAAGGTGACACTGCTTGGAATATGAGAATTCTCAGGGAAATGGGCCATAGAATTCATGAGTGATGGGACTTTTCCTATACAAAAATAGCATCTGTTATGTTGTAGTATAATGACCTATTTGCACTTGTGTCTGATTTACCTGATGAAGAACTTCTGTAGGGTAGGAAGCATGCCTCATTCATCTTGTACCTCTGATGCCAACCAAACATCCAGCATCCAATATCCAAACTACAATAATTCAACTTCTGCATAGGGGTGAACAGCATTACTAGAAGAGAGCATAGTGAACTGAATGGTGGCTACCCCCAAAAGACATGTCCAGATCTTTACCCCCAGAATCTGTGAGTGTGGCCTTATTTGGGAAGTGGGTCTTTGTAGAGATAACTAAGTTAAGGACCTCAAGATGAGTTTACTCTGGATTATCTGGATGGGCTCTGAATCCAATGACAACTGTCCTTAAAGAGACAGAAGAGGAGAACACTCAGAGAGAAGAGGAGAGGACCATGTGAAGATGGAAGCAGCGATTGGAATGGTGCAGCCACAAGCCAAGGAACACCTTGGGCCACCAGAAGCTTGAAGAGGCAGGAAGAACTCTCCCCAGGGTCTTCCAAGGGAGCATGGTCCTGCCAACACCTTGATTTCAGACTTTGGACCTCCAGAACTGTGAAGGAGCACATTTCTATTGTTTTTAAGCCCCCAAATTTATGGTAGTTTATTATAGTAGCTACAGGAAACTAGTACAGGGGGTGACTTGCCCTTGAGAACAGCCATTAAAACTAACACACAGAGCTTGGCTCATGGCATTGAAAAGAAGAGACCAAGAAAAAGGCTAGTTGAAGGACTCTGGTTGGCAGAGCACAGGTAACGTGGACTGAATTGTTAAAAGAGGCCAGAAGGGGTGGATCTTGAGTTCCAGGAGCCTTGAAGAGCTGAAAGAAGTTTCAACCTAGGCTGAAGAAATGGAGTAACAGGAGCTTATAATTCACCAGACTGCATGCATGATTTAGATCTGGAGCACGCACTGCAGTATGCAGTTGAGTTGACCAGAAAAATACTTGAAGGCTTTGCCAATGGGGAGAGAGAAGCACCTTGGAGAAAAATGGGGTTTGGGTAGCGGGAGGATGGCCATTTCTCAAGCCAGGCCTTTGAGAAACTATTTTGCCAGTATCAGGGGCTAAAAGAAAAGGATCCAGGCATGGAAGGATTTTACTCCCAAGTAAGCAATGAAAATAAGCCAGTTTGGGGGCTGGGCGCAGTGGCTCATGCCTGTAATCCCAGCACTTTGGGAGGCCGAGGAGGGCTGATCACGAGGTCAGGACATCAAGACCATCCTGGCCAACATGGCGAAACCCCATCTCTACTAAAAATACAACAATTAGCTGGGCGTGGTGGTGGGCACCTGTAATCTCAGCTACTTGGGAGGTTGAGCCAGGAGAATGGCTTGAACCCAGGAGGCAGAGGTTACAGTGAGCCAAGATCATGCTACTGCACTCCAGCCTGGTGACATAGGAAGACTCTGTCTCAAAAAAAAAAGAAAAAAAAAAAAAAGACCAGTTTGGCCCGTCTGTTCCTGGCGTGTCCTGTGCTGCTCCAGCCTGAGGACCCTCTGCCTCACAGGGACTCAGTCCTCATGCACACAGATGGGGTGGGGGAGCTGATAGCACTGTGAGGAGCCAAGCATCCTCCTTCAGAGATGAGAGTGGCAGGGATGTCAGAGACGTCCTCAGCACCAGGGCCAAGTTGGAGAGAGCAGACTGTGTTTTGTTATGAGAAGATAAATGTAAGACACTGGAATTCCCAGCAGTGTGAAGGAGCGGAATGTACGCTGAATCCACTGCCAGGAGACCTGGGCTATTGCTCCAGCTCCATGATGTAGCAGCTGGATTACTTTGCAGGAGTAACGTATCTTCTTTTTTTTTTTTTTTTTTTTTTGAGACAGAGTCTTACTATGTCACCCAGGCTGGAGTGCAGTGGCGCTATCACGGCTCACTGCAACCTCTGCCTCCCAGGTTCAAGTGATTCTCCTGCCTCAGCCTCCCAAGTAGCTGGGAGTACAGGGGCGTGCCACCGCACCAGGCTAATTTTTTGTATTTTTAGTAGAGATGGGGTTTCACCGTGTTAGCCAGGATGGTCTCGGTCTCCTGACCTCATGATCCCCCCACCTTGGCCTCCCAAAGTGCTGAGATTACAGGTGTGAGCCACCATGTCGGGCCCATAACTTCTTTGTCTTTCCTGCAAGGAGCTTGGGGAGATCACTTCCAAGGTCTCTATAACCCTAAGAGTCTACATTCGCTGCCTGGCTATTGAATGAAATGGATTCAGCCGTGGAAGTGTCTTCTTGCTAAGTCACTCAAACCAATATGGAAAGTTTTCTGATATACACCATCCTCCCCACCACCAAAAGCAAAACAAAATAAAATATCATATGATATATAGGAAAAGTATATTCCTAAGAAAGGACTACATGATTATAGCATGGCTTGAGGTGGGAAGTCAATGAATGAATGTTGAATGATAAACGGATAAGGGTTGATTCATCTTTTTGCCAAAAATATAATATAGTCATACAGAGTATGTTCTTAGGAAAAGGACTACATGATCATAACATGACACAATGAGAACATTGAATGGATGAATGTTAAATAAATGGGTGAGGGATTTAAAAGGATTTTTTAAAAAAACATAGAATGCTTCATGAATTTGCATGTCATCCATGTGCAGGCCCTATGCTAATCTCTGTTTCATTCCAATTTTAGTACATATGCTGCCAAAGTGAGCACTGTAAAAGGATCTTAAGGATTTTTGCTAAGTAATACACCAAGTCTTATTTCTGCCAGTTATCTGTATCATGACATTTAATTTGTTTAGCTCTACCTATCCTTTTATTTTTAATTTTTTGAGACAGAGTCTTGCTCTGTCACCCAGACTGGAGTGCAGTGGCGCAATCTTGACTCACTGCAGCCTCCACCTCCCGGGTTAAAGTGATTCCTCTGCCTCGGCCTCCCGAGTAGCTGGGACTACAGGCACCTGCCACCACACCGGGCGCAAAGTTTTGTATTTTTAGTAGAGACAGGGTTTCGCCATGTTGGCCAGGCTAGTCTCAAACTCCTGACCTCAGGTGATCTGCTCGCCTCAGCCTCCCAAAGTGCTGGGATTACAGGTGTGATCTTACTCTTTAAGTGAGAAGTGACTTGTACGTGACACCCATATCAACTCTTCCCTCTTGGTGCCCTGAATCAGCTAGACAGTCTTTGGCTACATTGGTGGTCAGTAAGTGTTGATGACTCATTGAGCATGGATTTCTCTCACCTGTACTTTGGACTATACAGAAAACCAAAGATAAAGGGCTGTCTTGAATCTATTCAGGGTCCTTGTGTTTTGCTCTTCAATGCTTACCACCTTCTTTTCTTGGACAAGGGTGCCACCTGACCTTACTATTCATGCCTTGTTGACTGACTTCATCAAAAGAGTTGTAACAAACTGTTTTTAAACTGTTCTTATTTGTGGGGTAAAACATCTTTATTCCACTTGTAAGAACAAACAAAAATTATGGCACTATGCACGTTATAATGGAGATGACTGGCATTCTCTTAAAAGAAATAGGCTACAAAACAGAGAGAGCTCAAAATGATGGCAGGAGGCCAGGCCAGGTAGCACTGAAAATCCCTATCTCCCTGGCCTGCAGTGTGACACTGCCTGGTAGGAGGTGATCTGGAGCCAGGTGTGCCATGCTGTGACTGTAGCCAGTGTAATTTCTGTGGAAAAGTCTCAACTATCACATTAACAGGCCATTTAACAGACGCTGTAACCACCCTGACGCTGGGGTGTTGGTCCAATTTATCCTCCTGTGGCTGAGTGTGCGTTCAGATTTAATGAATTGGTTGAATTCATTTGGTGATCGGTTTTGGCAGGCTTCTTCTCCCTATCTCCTTGGTTTCCCCCTCCATGCCCTCCGTCACCACTGAGCCCTATTGGAGGGACACCTGTTATTGAAGACACTGCCTAATTATGTGCAGGACAAATACACACCCACATGCACATGCACTTTCATTACACTCCTGGAAAAACAAAAGCAAAGACAAGAAAATATTGCTTTTGGCTAAGTGAGATGAGGCTTTCATTGCTCCAAATTCTGTGAGTTTGGATAATGAGCAGGAAACAACCACAGTTCACATATTCCGAAGCCATGAGGATATTTACCTCCTGTTTGGACGGGTGGATACATATTTGGGTCAAGGAAATCTATGTAGAGGACAAAAGAGCTTGAAAATTCATTCATTCATTTACCCATTCACCCATTCATCCATTCATTCACTTGTCTTAAAAGTCCCAGATACTCTGGGTGTCTGGAGATGTTGAATAATAGCTTCTGCCTTTCCTCCCTCCACCCTCTCCCTTTTTCATACAATTTAAAGAATGACACACATGAGCACAGAAGTAATTTTAACAACACGAGAAATGGCTATTGTTGAGGAGCAAACCAAATATCATCAGGGCACAGAAGGATCACCATGTAACTGCCTGTAGATGGCCAGGAAACCTTTTGAAGGAGATGATAATTGATCTGAGTCATAAAGAATAAAGAGGAGTTTGTCTATCTGGGTATAAATTAACCTGGCTTTCTGTCATTTGTCTGTCTTTCTGATTTCCCATCAGCTTGTTGAGGGCAGAAGCTGTGTGATTGGCTTCTTTATGCAGTGGGAACCTGGCCCAGTGCCTTGTGTATGGGAACCACTTGCCATATTTTAGCTGAGTGAACAAATCTATAAATGACAAGTACTGAGATTCTTTATGGAGTGCACATTGACTAGTCATGGTCAAGATCTCCTTTTGGATTCAGGTGACAGCAGGAAGGTTTGTGCTGGAAAATTTACAGGGTACACAAGGACTGGGAGGCCTAGATGCTGTCTAGGTGGGCCTGGACACCTAGAAGGTGACCCCAGGACTGACCATGGGTACAGAGTCAACTAACTGTTGCACTCTACCTCTGGATAAGAGAAGATCACCACTGCTTCACTCCTCTGGTTGGGGTGGTGGACTCCCAGCTGCAAGACTCTGCCTAAGGGGTGCTTCGTGAGGAAGCTCCTTGGAAGTCCTGCCTCTCTCTAGGTCCTGGACGGCATGTGGGTGACCAGGGATTGACCACACTGAGTGTGATATGGATCAGAAGGATAGAAAAGGCAGCAACAACAAGTGATTGTCTCTTCCTAAGTTTTCCTGTCTTTTGTTGCCCTTTTATCTGCAGAGCATGGTCTAATAAACAGAGAAGGCTCAGGAGGGTCAGAAACACGGTGCCTCATTTCTCAGCCTACTTGCCAAGAATTCCCAAAAAGGAAGCACTGGAGGATCATTCCAAGGCTTGAGGTAATCAGATCTTTCCAGAACTTGAATTAGGTGGCTTGGGAGATTAAGACATTGAAACAAAAAGAGCCCAGTCTAGGAATCAGAAACCATTCTTTCTGGTTCGAGCCCTAGTTTATTGACTGGTGAATGACCTGCAGCAAGTTATTTAACTTCTCTGGAATATAGTTTTCTCCTGTTTCCAAAATCTAGCACTCAAAATCATTTATACATTTTGATTTATCAGGCACTCAACATATATACTCAATGTCTATGTGTAGCAAATACAGTTTCCCAAGTAGAAATAAAGAATACTGTTTTTCAAAAGCCGTGGGGCTTATGAATATTTTTGTAGACTGCACGTTATCTGCAACCATTCTTACATTTAACTGTGTCTCTGGAAAGTGAGTTCTTTCTAAAGGGATAGAGGTACTAAATGGTGATATTCTATAGCTAATGTGGAAAAATTTATCACAGCACTGTGTGATTTGTTCCAGGGACTACCTTTCCCAAAACAGAGAAGCCAGTAGCCTAGATGTCTGATCTAGAGATGACAGACATCAGCTCCTTTATTCATTAGCTGGTACATTTTATCATACAATCGGATTTTGAATTAAATTACAAATAGGAACTTATAACATTGGGATTAAAGTAATGTTGATTAATTTAATTTATACTAAGGTGTAGATGACTGATACTACAGCCTATCCTCAGGGTATATTTTAAGTAATGATAAGGAAAAAAAGCAAAACAGGAAAAGTGATGGGAACTCCAAGGGTGGTGGCAAGGTTATAGGAAGAGGGTTAAGGACATGGCAAGGAGAGAATGAATTTTCCAAGGATAAACTTCTTTTTTACTTCCTGCTTTTTTCCTAAGGTCAGACAGAAACCAGCAGTATGGGATCCAATTTCAGAAAATGTCACAGTCTCCTTGCTTTATGACCCAGGCTAATTTTCAAGACCTCAAAAATCAGATAAAGCTGCCAAAGTCGCTCTTGAGGGATTTTATGAAACTAACATTCTTTTCTCCTTTCACATCATGCATTTTTTTGGTGACTATAAAACACACCTTAATCGTAGAACATTTAGATACCACAGCAAAGCATAAAGGAGAAAAAGCCATCCTCAATTCCACCATCTTTAATATCATAGTGCATTATGTTTTAAAGGCAAAAGGGAGTTTTCAGGCCTGCATCATGGCAGTTTAAAGCGAGGAGGTAGCAAAGCCACCACAGCAAAAACAGAGGCAGGGCCTGGGCATGTTATGTCAGCAGAACTTGGGACCAGTTTTTTTTTTGGAGGGGGAGTAAAACTACATTGTATACTCTCAATGAGATGTGTGTGTCTATATGATGGAGGGGGCTTGGCATGTTCGGTTACCACTTTTTCCATCTTATATTCTTAGTAACTAGGTTACCTGAAGAGTCCATTTGCCACATTCAAATCAGAACTGATTTTTAAATTAGTTGACGACTGTGTAGGTAACACAGATCAGAGAAATTCTGTGCATATACGTGGCACTGTTTGAGTGTGTGTGTGTGATTGTGTGCGTGTGTGTGTGTGTGCACATTCTTGTACCTGCCTAGAGGTCAAGTAACCAAATTTGGAATGGAGTGGGTTGAGAAAAACTTCTCTGTTTTCCTGCCTGTTCCCATCACTATGACTTGCAAATGAAGCCTTTCTTCACGAAGTAAGTCAGGTTGTGGGCGAGAGATTCAGAAGACTGGAGAGAGTTTTTCTGCACTGCCTGCTCAGCACCAGAGAAACCGGAGGACCCTTGGCTGTGCCCACAGCGGGAAAAGCCCAGGCTCCAGGTGAGGCCTCGCTTCCCCCTGGGTGGTTTGAAGAAGGGGCCGATGGCGATCATAAATATCATTTGCTGACACGGAGTCCTGGGGCTGCGCTGACCACAGGAGTCGCGGTCCCCAGGATGCAGGAACTGCTCACAAAGCAGGCATTTATGAACTGGTTGGCTTTGCATTAATTAATTCCCCATTCACCAACAGTAACAATCCCTTCAATGAGTGTCCAGGCCCTGGAAAGCCCTGGTGTTGATTGGAAGTGACAAGTGCATCGCAAAGTGTGACTGTGTTAATATGGAACAGCGCAAAGGGACCTGGAGCCCCTCTCCTGTCCCGCGCCTTCCTTCCCGTGTCATTTTTGAGGAAGAAAGAGGACTTGGCTTCTTAAGGAGTGTTTAATTTGGTTTTTCCTCTTTGGTGGTTCGCTTGTCAGCTGCTGTTTTCTCATCTGCTTCTTCTCCGGGATGGGTTAGTTCTGATGTAGTGAGTTCTGTCATGAGTCCATGGAGTGTCGCAAGGCCATCGAAGGGCCAAGAGCCCTGACAGGTCACAGGGGGCTGATAAGCCAGGGCTGATATACACACACACACATACGCACACACACACACACACAAACGGATATGGACTCTCTGGGGAGGCTGGGCAAAGCCTGGCAAATTCGCTCATTGTTAAGAATTTGGGAACCAACAAGAGACTTGGAGTTCCACAGGTCTTAGTAAAAGCTGAAATGGCAGGGAAATTGTAGAAAGTGGAGCTGATTGTCAATTCCCGAAGGCCAGGAAAACATCTCTTCTTTAACAGGCAGCTCTGTGCCATGTGCTTGCAGGCTCTAAATAAACGTTTGTTGGCTGGCTGACTGGCAGTGGGTTAGACACTTGCCCCTGTGATCCTCCAGCTTGTTTAATTGCCAGTTATTTGGCTTCTTTCTTTCCAGTTGTCTTACTAGTTTGCCAGTTTCTGTGTCAGTTGCTGGTTCTAAGGACGCATGCACTTATCTGGCTGGGCCATTTTAGGTTTTGCTACCTATTTACACATTGGCCAAATCTTTCTTAGTTGATACGGTCCTTTATTACTTTTGAAGATTTTCCGGTTTGTTTCATTCTGTGTTTTTGCTTGCACTTTTAGGAAGTAGATTTAAAAGACTTCATTCACCCTTTTCTAGGTATACACTGTGCTAGAAGATACCAAAATGATTAAGAAAGATCTCCCTCTTACCACTAGAAAAGAGGATTAAACATAAGCACATTCACAAATAACTGTAAGGCAGGATTAAGACAGGCCAGCGCTGAAAGAGACATATAAATAAGGGTGATGGGGCTTCCAAGGAAAGCACATCACAGCTGCCAGATCAGTCAACAAGGGCTTCCTTGGGCATCTGCAATGGGTCAGGAAAGATGGTCAGGGTTTTGTCATGTAAAGGGGGCATTCTTATCAAAGGGAATGGGAAACATCCGAGGCTGTGTGTTCTGGGAAGGAGTGAAGAGTACACTTTGGGGTAAAGCATAGATTTGGGCAGGAGAAGTGGGAGGGACCAGGGATTGAGGACTTTGTCAGCAAGGGTGAGATGTCTGCAGTAATTTTTGCAGACATGCAAACCAGTTGGGAGATGTTTATTTGGGTAAGTGTGGGTGGGACTAGGGTGAGTCACGTGAGGGGCCTAGGGCACAAAACTTAAGGAGACTTGCTCTCAGGTGCCACCTCTGCCTTTGCAGGATCCTGAGTCAGGTCTTCTTACTGCGCTCCCAGCTTGGTCTGGGAGTGGGCTGACCAGTGAGCAGCAGTTTTGCATATTCGCAAGATTGCTGCGAAAGCTCTGCATAGGAGGGATTGGAGACGGTGGGCGCTGTGTGAGACCGTGCAAATAGAGTTAATAGAGACAGAAAAGATGTGCAACCTGGATGGTGTGAATGGTGTGCTCCTGTAAAACAGTCAACACAGGCCAGGGACAATTCCACATGCTTTTCACATGTTAATTAATTTCCTGATGAAAGATAAAGCTTCTAGCCAGGAGTCCAGACAGCTGAGTTCTAGTCTAGCTCTGCTCTAAAGAGTCCTGGGAGCCCCTGTGGCCTCAGCTTTTTGACCTGTGAAATGACCGAGTAACAGACCATTTCATAGGTCCCTGAGAGCTCTAGAATCTCACGTCACTCATGACGTATGTTAATATCAGCTGGCCTCGAAAGAGAACCCGAGCCTTGGGGACCCCAATCTTGGATCTACAAGATCTCTCAGACCAGAAGCCCTGGGGGGTAAATCCCTCCATCCAGAATCTTGTCTTTCATCGATTCAGTGTGAACTACTTCTCAAATTTCTACATTTCTGGTCCCCCTTAAACACTGACATTCCAGTCAGTCTGATGTTAAATTCTGCTTTCCCCTTTCCACCTTGTGTTACCTACCACCACAGCCTGGCCCACATTTTTCTACCCCTCCCTCCTTCTGTCATTAACAAAACTCCCCAGACCCTTGCAAAGCCCCTACAGCAGAATTATCCCAAGAGAGAAACAGTGGATTTAATAAGCTTCCCCTTAGATGGCCCCAAATCCCTTCCAGTTGATTAGGGGAAAAAACAACTACACACAGGACAGTTTCCTGATGCGGGAGGTGAGAGAGAGAAAGAATAAAGAAAGTTCCTGAAGTCCTGGGCCTCAGGGACCAAATTAAGAAAGCAGCACCACTTATTCAAAATCAGATGAATGTCAGTGGGATGTTTGTCAAACAAACTTGTCATTATTTGTCACAATTTGAGGAAGTATCAGTCAATAGTCACACTCGAGCGCATAACAGAGTTATTTATAGCTGCCAGTCTAGAGTTTTAACTCATGCAGGGCCAAGGTTCGATGTTATAAACAGCTTTGTTTATAATGACTGCGTGGCTATAAATAGTTTGGTTCCCCGGGTGTCACAGAGCAGCCCCGGGATGGGCTGCCAAAACCAGCGCCAGGAAGCAGGCTGCAGCAGGGAGGTGAATCCTGGTGGTGGTTTTTTTTCTTCTCCGAGTACCCTTTCTGTGAGTCCTTGGCCAGAGTATTTCATGTTGTTCCTCAGTGTCCCTTTTGGAACGGGGAGTCGGGCTCCCTGGTGTTCCTGGGAGATGGTGGAAGTTACTCACTTAATGAATTAACATCTGCCCCAAGATCTGCTGTTGAAAGGGAGCCAGTATGGGGAGCACCGCCTCTTTTGTGCCTATTCACGGACAATGAGCTAATTACAGTCTCTCTCCTGCTGGAGGGTGGAGGGAGATATCCTGTTATTCCAGTGAACAGGCAAAGCTCTAAAGGTTTATTTACAGCTTCAGATTTAATTTGAACGACAGCAGCATCTCTTCTAAAAATACGAGGTTGTCAGAAATTTAGAAATTTACTAGTTTCTTGTGTCAGCAGAACCTTATCTAAGGAGTGGGAAGTTGGGGGATTTGTGGGGAGCAGAAAAGAGGAAGGGGAATATGTATACATAAATTTTACATGTAAAATACATAGGTATGTCAGCTTAAAAACTGATCATTTTACCAATTGGCACAGGGGCAGTATTCTCAACATCTTCCTGACAACCTCCAACCCCACCCTCCAAAAATGCAAATCTATTTGTCATATGGAAATTTCTTGATCGACTCTTTCCATGTCACGCTCAAAATCCTTACAGTCAATTTTAATACTATTAAGCTAAATCTTCTTTTGCTTTCTTTTTTTTTTTTTTTTAAGAAAAGGTGTGGCCATGAAAAAAAATTTATTGGATCTTAATTTGCAAGATTAGTTCTGGTTCATTTTATTGCAGTAATTTAATACTCATAATGATTTTCTGATGCATATGTTTTAGCAGCAAGATCTACTTCCTATTCATTTTTCATTTCAATGCAACTGACGTATATTAGGCAGCATGGTACAGATCTAAGGGAGCAGCACCCCGTGAGAAACTGACATCATTCTGCCATCTTGGCATCCTCCCAGACATGTGTTGAGCCCCAAGAAGCCTGCACCCAGGTATATCCAGGGATTCAGGACCGAAGGTGATAAGCAAGAAATCCTTCTTTAAAAAGGAGTTACCTGTTTTTCATGGATAGGATTATTAACATCATTACCATTATCATCATTACTGCAATTCTGGCTAAGGGAGCTGTGAGTTGCATCCTATTTGAATGTCTCCCACTGGATGGGAAGGAAGCAATGAGGGCCTCCTAAGTAAACCAACAATCACACTGCAGGGAAGGTGAATCATGGACTCCAATACCCAATGCCACAGGACTCTGACCCAGGTACTAGGGAGGGCATCCTGGAGGAGGTGGCCTCCGCATTGAATCCTACAGGAGGTTCCTTAGGGTGGTAATTGTGCCTTTTTGTTTCTGTACAGACACCTGCTGGCATAGTAGGCACATGGTACATCTTTGTAGAGAGAGTTAATGAAGGTGTATTCTTTTTAGGAAGTTGACAGTCCCTCTGGAACTCTATGTCATACATTAGCAATACATAAAAATAAACATGAATTTAAATGGTTAAAAATGAAAAATAAGAGAGAGGAGAGAGATATTTGTGGAGTGTGTGTGCTGGAGTAGAATGAGGACCCCCCATCTGATTGGTGCTCTGGAATTCCTAAACAAAACAATCAACTCCCTATTGGGAGTCGGCCCTTGCATGGCAAGAGTGTGCAAGGCCAAGGTGTAGGAAATGAAATGGAGCAATGAGCATGTTGAAGTGAATTGATCCGAGTGGAGTGACAGGCATCGTCAGCATTTCCTCTCTGTTTATTTTTACATGAGGCTTTACCCATACGTGAGGCCAAGACCTCATCCGTTGTGGGTTCCAATTCTGTGTTCATGAAGGAGGTGGCATTAAGCTAAAAGGAAGAGGATAAGTACAAGGAGATGGACATTATATCAAGTTTCTCCCTTAGTCTTTCAGTTCTTCTCAAATACTTTTTCTTGTGGTTATACTTAGTTTCATGATTATTTCTACCATTTTTAAAAGAGAGATTCTCAATGTTTATTTTAAAACAAAAAGGACAGATGTTTTTCCACATTGTTATTGGGTGAAGGGGGAATTTTAATATTCACATTATCAAGCATCTGATTTCAGAGAAGATTCTTAGAATCGGAAATCTGTTTGCCCAGTCACTCATAGCTCCCATCTCAGAGATATTATGACGATATATCCTTGACCTAAATGTTCCCATTTAAAGGAAAAGGAACAGAACAATAAATTTTGCAGCATAACATGTAAATCTGATGACGGCTTATGCTTAATATTTTTGTTTATTTCTGTTTCTAAGAATTTTCCTCAATGCCGAGTACCAGCTGAGGAGGATGTGGTATAAATGTATTAAGCAGCTTAGGGTCTCTGGCCACTAATTCTTAGGATTGTAGCTTTTTAGAGCTTCAGGAAACAATTAGAATTTTCTACTTTAGTTCTCTCTTTTTTACAAATGTGGAAGCTGAGCCATTTGACTTCTAAGAGACAGAGTTGGGATAGAACAAATGTCTCTTGGCTCTTAGAAAAGATAACTAATATTTGTTAGACACAAATAGTTGTGCCCTTTACAAAGGTGCAGTGTGGTGGTTAAGGATGAGGGCTCTGGGGCCAGACAAGCCTAGGTTTGTATGTTGGCTCTGTCACTATTTGTGAGGCAGTGAAATGTTACTTCTCTTCTTTAAGCCTCAGCTTTCTTCATCCATAAAATGGAAACACTAATGACACAACAACAGAGGCATTGGAACGACTGAATGAGATAAAGCAGGTCAAGTACTTTGCGATTGTTCCTGACACATGGGACATCTTTAACATGTGACACAAACCACAGTGAAAACAAAACCAAAAAGCAAAACAACCACCCCACAGCTAGGCTTTTTGTTCTTTCAGCCTGGTAGGATCTGTACAGAGATGTTACTGGTGAAGCTTCTTTCTTCTTCACGTCCTTTTGTACATGTTTATTTCCATGGGGGTGGAGAAGCCCTCTGAGAGAGAAACACACGAGTCCCATTCACCATTAGGCTTTGGGTACAGTGACAGATCTGATGGATGGGTGGGTAGCGATGGGGAACAGGGAGGGGAGGTCCTGGTGAGTCATCACTATGAGCAAGAGGGGTTCTGATATGCTTAGCTGGCCCAGAGGGGGAGGGTCTGGGCAGTGAACCCCACTTTGTAGCCCAGCCTTCACCTGCTGGGGGTGCAGCTTTGCTCTGGGCATTGCTTTGATCAGCAATTGGAACTCAAGGTGGATGAGAGCTCCGTGAAAGGGACTGCTATACTGTCTGGCCCTGAGGACTCAGATGGTTGGGACCCCACCCCTGGGATGAGAACACGGGCAGCAGGGGCACAGGTTGGCAGCTTTGAGGACCTGAAACTTATTGGAGAGAGTTATTTATTTCTGTAAATACCTGGATCTCTTGTAAGTCAAGCAAGTGGGGACTTAGGCCACTAGAATTTGGAACAGTTGTCTTAATCACACAAGCCACGTGATTTCACTCATATCCTGGGAAATATTATTTGCACATAAAATTATCCCATTTAATCCCTCAGTAGCCTTGCAAAGTTTTTATGGTATTTTGCATATCAGGAAAATGGAGGCTCAGAGAGATGTAAATCACACTTAAGGTCACAGATATCAAAATAAAGCCTAGAATGAAAACAAATATCATTGGTTTTATAGTCTATATCCTGTCCTTGTCCATTGACCCAGCTGAATTTTACTTTTAATGCATTTTCCTTCCACCTCCTACCTTCTTTGGTTTGTGAATGGAGAGGTAGCCGTGACTTCCTGTGGCTGAGCCACTTCCTGTGGCTGAGGGAAGCAGCAGGCTGTCTGGTTACCTGAGCCAGGTCTGGGGCCAGGCAGCATGCATTCTAGTCCTGCCTGGGACACTCACTGGCCTCAAGATCTTGGGCAAAACAGCTGACTGCTTTGCACCTCAGTTTCCTCATCTGTAAGGTAAGGTGTATTAGGATTCTCCAGAGAAACAGAACCAACAGGTTGGGGGTGGGGGGTGGGGTGGAGAGAGAGAATGAGAGAGGGAGAGAAAAAAGAAGAAGAGAAGAGAAAAGAGACGAGAAGAGAAAAGAAAAAGAAGAACTAGAGAAGGAGAAGGAGGAGAAGAAGATTTATTTTAAGAAACTGGCTCAAGCGATTGTGGAGACTAGCAAGTCCAAAACGTTCAGGGCAGGCTGGAGACCCAGGGAGGAGTTGATGGCGTTCCAGTGGGAAGGTATTCTGAAGCAGGTTCTCTCTTCCCCAGGGGACCTCAGTCATTTCTCTTAAGGCCTTCCACTGACTGGATGAGGCCCACCCACATTATTCAGGGTAACCTGCTTTGCTCAAAGACTACGGATGTAAATGTTAATCTCATCTAAAAATTACCTGCACAGCAATACCTACACTGGTGTTTGACCAAATATCTGGGTCCCATGGCCTAGCTAAGTTGGTGCATCAGATTAACCGTGGGGCTAATGAGATGTACTACATAAGGTTGCTTTGTGGGTTAAGTGAGCTGATATAGGTGAAGAATTTAGAACTGTGTCAGGTACAGATAAATTCTTGATAAGTGTTATCCATCATTCCTTCCAAAAGGAATCATTCATTCCCAGGGCAGACTCTCCCTCTGTGGCTTGGACATGTCATCCTGGCCACTGGGTCCATGCCCCTGAAGTCAGCAGGCTTTGCTTCTCTTCCATTTACTTCTTGTGGCTGCGAAGAGTCTCTGTGCCTTGAGTGTGGCAGCCTGTGTCTGGGAGGAGAGCGAGCTTTCCTGGTGCCCACATCAGTGAGGACACTAGGTGCTGCCTCTTAGTAAAGGCCCAACAGGGGAGATGCTGCAAGGAGATGTCTGGGGATGGAATTCTCCTGAGAGGATCTCTGTTGTTGCTTATACTCGCGGCAAGAAGCAAACACATCGCTCTTTCATCTTGGCAGGATGTGCTGCTGCTGCCAGCCTGTCTGCCCCGCCCCTGGATCGCCCCCACCCCCCCGACTCAGGTGGATGGCCCTTCAGCAAATGCCTTTCTTGGAAAAAAAAGGAGAACTGCACCCCTTGCCGCCCACCTCCTTTTCAGTTCAAAACTCTGCTCTATCTCCTTTGCCCAGCCACACCTTTCGTGGCCCTTCCTACCTGACAAAGGGAGATACCTTTGAGAGTCAGGCCTGCATTGCGAGCTGAGCGAATGTTCTTTTTGGAAACAAAGGAGTGTTCTTTTGGCTTTGGTTGATGAAAGCAGGTGGATTAAGAACTAGGATAAATGCAAAATATCCTGGAGGACAATGGGGAAGGAAAGCTGCGGGAAGGAGACATGGAAAGGAGGGTGGAATGGGAGATGGGAAGGGGCTGGCAGGACCAGGGAAAGGGTAAACCACGCTTTCATCTTGGAGTCTGATCTGTTTCTGAACTCTGAAGAGTAAGGCCATGAATTTTAAAAGGTGTCTCTGCAGTATCTCTGCAGCTGACAGCTCCAGTCACAGAACCAGCCCTCTCTGAAGCTCAGGAGTGCCACAGGAGGCTGAGCCCAGGGAGTCTGGAGACCAGGAGGCTGGGGGAGCCCAGCTGGCCCTTGTCAGGAAGCAGGATCACTCACAACTCCAACGCACTGGCCTGGGCAGGCTTCTGGCTGCACTTGGACGTGGCTGGGGCTGAGTATCCCCTGGCAGCTCCTGGAGGTGTCCACAGGGATGGTATCAGCAGATAACTTTCTGAGCAGGTCTCAAGGCACTGCTGGATGTGCTTGTCAATGACAAAGTCACGCAGACACCTGCTGCAGTCCCTGTTCACCTGTGCTGACTGCTGAGAGGACAGCAGGCCTCCCGGGGACTGGCTGTTTTCTCAACAGGGTTTTGAGAAAGGTCCTCTTCTAGAAAGGGCTGGGGGACCCTGCTTTGAGAGCTGCTCCCAGAGGGGGAAGCCAGGTAGTTCCAAAGGTCCTGGAGGAGGCTCAGAGTCTGCAAGTCACCCAGTAGAGGGAGGGATGTGAAGGTGGCCTGCTGAGTGCTCTGGGCTGGAAAAGTGGCAGTGAGTATTGTCCTTGGAGCCCTGGGAGAAGTGTCAGTGCATCTTACTTTATGAGAAATGCATGCTCTTGAGAAATGGAATGTGGACATTTAAAAAATATGTATTGTTATATCTTTATCAATATGTCTGATTTTTTTTCGAAACCCTGGAGTATCGCAATCATGACTTCTCTGTTTGTGAATTGAGCATCAGGAATATTGAGTTTTCTAAAAGCAGGGATATTGGTAATGGAAGCAAATGGACACTTCTGGAGCTGTCAGGTAGCCCAGAGCAGGACCCCAACAGCCACCAATGACACAGCTCCTTAGCTCGCTGGCTGAGCCAGGAAAACAGAGGTAGTAGCCCTGGGCAGAGGGACGCCACACACAGCCAATCCTGTGGAGACACTGGGAGGCATCTGGAAGCCCCACAAGAACCTACCCCTCCTCAGCTCTGTGTCCTGCCTAGTTACATCCTCAGAATTGTGAGGTACCCCTCCAGCAGCTGGAGGCCTGTGGAGGGGACTCGCCGTGTCTCAGCTTTGGGACTCCTGAGCCCCCGTTACAAAGGAGACTCTTTTTAGAGGGTGTGTGGGGCAAAATACCTTCTTCCTCATTTATTAAAAATTGTTCATTGGAGTAAAATATACATAACATAAAATTTACCATTCTAACCATTTAAAATGTACATTTCAGTGACATTGAGCGCATTCATAACCTTGTGCAACCATCACCACCATCCAGCTCTGGGTATTTTTTCATCATCCCTAACTGAAACTCCATACCTATGAAACACCAACTCCTCATTCTCTTCTTCCCCCAGCCCCTGGAAACCACCATTCCACGTTCTGTCTCTAGAAATATATGACCACTCTAGGTATCTCACATAAGTGCAGTCACACAGTATTTGTCCTTCTGTGTCTGGCTTATTTCACCTAGCGTGATGTCTTTAAGGTATATCTATGTTGCAGCATATATCAGATGTTATTTATTTATCTTTTTATTATGGTAAAAATATCATAAGATGTATCATTTTAAGCATTCATAAGCATTCATAAAGGCACAGTTCAGTAGCATTAAATCCATTCACAATGCTGGGTAACCATCACCGCTGTCTGTCTGTCTATCTATCTATCTATCTATCTATCTATCTATCTATCTATCTATAACTTTTTCATCATCCCCAATAGAAACTCTGTACCCATTAAACAACAAGTCCCTATTCCCGTCACCTCTCAGTCTCTGGTAACCTCTATTCTGTTCTATCTCTGTATGAATTGGTCTATTGCTATGGACCTCATATAAGTGGAATCATCCATTATCTCCCACCTTTTGAGCACAGATTAGATTAGAACACAGATTTTCAAAGTCTTCTCAAAGAGACAGAAGGCCAGCACCTAGTGGAACTTAAGGGTTGCACATGGCTATGTTGGGGGTTTTCCAGCCTGCATCAGGAAAACAGAACAGGGAGCATCCCAAAGCAGCCTGGACAGGACCCCCTGGGCTTCAGAGGGAAGGTGCTCTGAGAGGGATAGCCTGGCAGGTACATCCAGCCACCGAGGGAGGCCCTGAGAGACTCACATCACAGTGCTCCCCGCGTTTGGATTCCAGCCTCAGTGAGCACCCTTCCGAAAATCTGCCTGTGCAGAGAAAGCATAGGACAGGGCTTTTCTTGATGGCTTGGCACTTATGCTTGTCTTGGCAACAGAGAGGAATGGCCAAAACGTAAATGGAGAAGTGGTTCCTGAGTTTGAAAAATGGCTCTGCCATTTACAATATGTGAGACCTGGAGCTCAGCTTCCACTTCTGAAAAATGAGGATGAGAAGAGTCACCATCTCATAGGTATGGGTAGGCATGAGAAACAAGGAAAAGCACACATAATGCAGAAAAGTGTCCTGCTGAATGCCTGACCCACAGTAAGTCTTCAGCCGTGATCATAATCGTAATGTTAATTCATTGTGTTGTTAACATATCAGTTTCTTATAAGTTTTGCTAGCATGGCTCACTATCCTCAAGTCCAAACAGTTTTAAGACATTGAAATTGAGTTTGGGAAATGCATGCCCCAGGGTCAGGCATTTCTGTGAATTTGCTGGGGTGGATAACCAACCACTTGTGCATCTTGAGAAATCAGTGGTTTGTCTCCCCGGTGACATCTTGATCTCACCGCTCATTTTCCTTCCTAAGCATTGATAGAAATAAAGAATTGAGAAGTGTGAGCTCATTTTTGGGTAATAAATCTTAAACTGCATCCTTATTTTAGTTTATCGTATTGCACAAACCGTACATTGGTGGATGGGAGACCTAGTCAAAAAGGTGTAGACGGAACAATTTTATATCTCCCCAGACGGCCAAGTTCACAGTGATGGGATCCATAGTAAAGCATGCAGTGGGTCTTCGAAGCCCTGCGATTTGAACATGGGTCCCCCATCCCGCACATCTGCCCTGGGTGGCTTCAGGGATTCTGCTCAGGGCAGTAGCTGCTGCCGTTACCTCTGCTGGTGGGATCCGGGCAGTGGTCTTCATGGTCTCAGGAGGCAGTTCTCAGGAGGGGTTACCCACGGCAAGGGTTCAGATATACTCATATGGGGGCAGTCTCTTTGCAGTTTCAGAACCCTGACCCTTTAATACCTGGCCTTTGGAGTAGAAGCCCACCCACTGCTTCTATTTCCCCCAGCCTTAGGGTGGATTCTCTCTCAAAAGCTTCCTGATTCCTTTGTGCCACCTCACTCAGGTTATCCGTAGATTTTTATTCACGGCAAATCTCAAAGCCAGAGCCCTGGGGGCTTGGTCCCTCTCCCCTCAGGTGGCCCCTCTGCTCCTGTGTGCATTTGCTCAACCCCCAGGCTCCATTTAGCAGTGGGCGTGTCAGGGCCGGCGGTGAGCGCCCATCTGCCCACCGATCCCAGTTGGGTGGATTAATTAATGATTATAGAGGACTTTGAAGGTTGCAGGGCTAATTATTTAGCCAGTTCCCTCCCTTCCCCCAAGTCCCCTCGACGGCCTTTTGTCTCTTTCTCTCATGGGGTGTCCTTTGAAGTGAATAGGAGAAGATGAATCAGGGGTCAGTTATTAGGGCTGGCCATTACAGATGGCTGGCTGGAGAGTCCCGTCTGGACGCTGCTCCGCTGCAGGAGCTGAGTTTCTCCACGGAGCCCAGCAGCACGGTGGAGCTTTCTTTCTATCAGAACTGGCCCAGGTTCCCAGGACACTGTGGCTTCCCAGTCTCCCAGCTGGGCACATCAAACAGCAGGTCTTCATTGGCTGTGGTGTAGCCTGGTGCCCTTGTGCTTCTGTGGCTTTTTCTCCCAAGCTGGACGTGAAATCCTTTACTTATGAATTCATTCTCTCCTCTCTCTCTTATTACTCTTTCCCGGAGCATGGCCCCATAGGAATAACATGTGAGTTCTGCTCCCATTTCCAGGTTACTTCCAGGTTGCAGAGAACTAATTCTAAGCCGTGTCATGGGAGCAGTGAGTTTAGGCTGCCTTGCAGAGCAAGAAGACCATAGGGTATCTCTGCCTTTTCTTTCTCCCCACAAACTAAGATATTGAAATAAAGTAGATTCTTCTATTATTGTAAATTCTGGAATTGTGTATACTTTTTTAGTCAGGAAAATCTAAGTATAAAATAAATATTATAGTTAGTAGGATTACGCTTCCAATATTTCCTGCCTGAGCTCAGGAGTGGGTCCTCTGTGTATCTGTGTACGTATGAAAGGGGAGACGTCTGTGGCTGAAAAATCCTGAGTTACATTAATTCATGCATTTGTTCGTACACATCTGTCACATTTACTGAGAAGCTACTTGATTGTAGAGGTGTTAGAGAGATAAAGCAGAGACACCACTCATTTCTAAAGCTATTTCCAGTCCAGTAGGGAGAAGAGTATAAAAACGTATCAATATGGCAGAATAATCTTTTGAGTTATTGTTTTGTAATTTGCTCTATTTTTACGTTCCCCGTGACCAACAGGTAGACAGGCCCTTTGCCTGTCCTTGCTTCAGGATATTTTCAGGGCTGAAAACAAGCTGCTTGAAGTCAAAGGCTTTTGTAGAAGTCCCAAGCTCTTTGAAAAAAATGATGTCAGCAGGCTCTGAGGGCAGCAGGATGCAAGAGAGGTGACTCCCGGGGCACGAGGCTGAGCATGAAGGCTTTGAGGGTGACCAAGGAAGGGAGGGAGGAGGACAGAAAGGTGAGGCCTCTTGGAAAGGTCTCAAAGGTGTGGGTGTAGCAGCCCTGGAGAGGCTGGGGAGGCACTGGGGGTTCCAGCTTCACCCCAGACTCCCTAGACGTGAACCTGAGGCAGAGAGGCCACTGGCCCTGAGGCCCATGTGGGCTGGGACCATGCCGGACTCTGGGGACCAGAAAGGACTGACAATGGCCAGCGAGTGGAGGGGGCTTTCCAGCTCTTTGGTGATCTGCACAGTTCCCCTGGGCCAGTAGGCTTGTTAATGATGGTGCAGGGATGTCTGCTGCCCCAGAAGGTTGGGAGATCAGAGTGGGATCTAAGATTGTTTAAAATAAAAATAATATGGAAAAGTGTACTCTGATATTATACCCATGACACAACTCTGACACAATTTAAAAGGGGAGGTGGTGGAGATATAGTCAAATTCCTAGAGATAGAAAGTAGACTGGTGGTTTCCAGGGGCTGGGGGAAGGGGGCACTGGGGGTTAGAGTTTGGTGGGTGCAGAGTTTCCATGTGGCAAGATGCAAAGAGTTCTGGAGATGGCATAATGATGGGAATGTACTTATCTTAGAGAACTGCATACTCAACAACAGCTACGATGGTTAGTTTTATGCCATGTGTATTTTATCATGACTCACAAGCCATAGAATTTGGCCCCAAGGGTGCCAGGAGCAAAGATGGAGGTAGATCTAAGTCAGCTTGGGGACAGTCATGGAGGGCTTCACTGGCAGGTGCCAAGTGACTGAGACCCAAAGGATGGGCTGGCAGGAAAGAGGTGGAGGGGGTGTGGAAACAGAGGGTGGGACTGGGGCGGTCGGAAGGGAGCAAGGGAAAGATGAGCACACACATACACACATATGTGTGCTTTCACACTTACATCCACCTGCTCACACACCCAGCCAGCAGAGCACCCTGGGTGCATCTGGACAGCATGGCTAGAGTTTAGAACATTAGGTGGGATGGCGAGTAGAGGGGAGGGATCAGCCTGGTTTAGATTTTATCTGGTAGGTGATGGGAACCATTGAGTATTCTTGGTGGCGGCTGAGGGATGGTGACATAATCAGATGGGTGTTCCCACAGGATCACCCTGGCACCTGTGCGGAAGATGGGTTTGAGTCCAGAGGCCGAGCCCCGCCTGGGACTGTGCCTGCAGAAGAGGAACAGCTTCTGCCTGTCTCAGAAGCCCCCTGCTCTCCCAGCTCCCTGGGAGCATGAGAGTTAGCATCACCTGTCTCCTTCCCAGACCCCAGGGGCAGCTCGGCCATCTGTGGCACATCATCTCTGTGTGCTTGACCATTCTGTTGTTTTGAGAATCTCTGCTCTTATCTCATAGCCCTAATGGGGAGAAAGAGTGAGCATCACACACAGATCTTTCCCCAAGCATTGCCATTCATCCATGCCCCCCATCCCCGTTCTATTTCTTTTATGAGCAGAGATTCATTTCTATGCCCTGAAACCTACCCTTCCAAGGGCCGTCTATTGCTGTTTATGGAGGCACAATAGTGCTTCTGTGGGCTGGGCAGACTTGAAGACCTCACTGCCTCGGTTTGAAGTCCAGCTCTGACAAGTTATTTAAACTTTGTTATCATATCTCTCAAACCAGGATGTTGATAGTATCATCTCACTGGGCTGTTATGAGGATTCAATGAATTTATCTTTTAAAAGCACTTAGAATGACATCTGGCACAGAGTTGATGCTGTGTTTATTAACTAAACGTCTACTCCAAAAAGTAATGATGGGGATTACATGGGACGCTGTTCCTGAGGGGCTTGGCGTGGCACCTAGAATACAGTAAGCACGCAATACATATTAACTGTTGCTATTACTGTTAAGATGTTTAGAATTGTGCTGGAATATGACATGTGCGAGATGAGATGAAAGGAGATAAGATTGGTTTGGGTAGGGGTGTTGAATTCATGCAGATGCTTTTGAGGAAACTAAAGCAGCCCCCACAGCCCTCTTGGTGGTCTCCGTCCAGTCTCTCTGACATCCCATCTGTCTCCACACTGCTGCTGCTGCAGATGCCTTCCTGACGAGCAGTGGATCTAGTCAGTCAACTCCCTGACTTACTTAGAAACCTGGCAGTGATCCTTGTTACACGGGTTGAACATTGCCCCGGCAAAAGATGCATTGAAGTCCTAACCCCGAGTAGCTCAGCATGTGGCCTTATTTGGAAATAGTCTTTGCCGATGCAATCAGTGAAGATGAGGTCCTATCAGGGAGGGTGGGACTCTGATCCAATAGGAAGGTCCTTATAGGAGGAAGGCCATGTGAAGACACAGGCCCGGGGAGAGGCCACAGGAAGGTGGAGGCAGAGATTGGGGTGATGCATCTCCAAGCCAAGGAATCATACGAGTCACTGGCTGCCAGTAGAAGCCAGAGACATGGACCAGAGTATCCTGCAGAACCCTCCAAAGGGGCCAGCCCTGCCTACATCTTGATTTTGGACTTTGAGCCTCCAGAACTGTGAGACACTCAATTTCTGTTCCTTTAGGCCAGTCAGTCTGTGTTACCTTCTTACAGCGACCCCAGGAAACGAACAAGAAACCAGTCCAAACTGCTTAGCATGATACTTAGGGTTCACTCTCCTGGCACACACACACACACACACACACACACACAGGCACACACATACACACACACACAAAACCACACCAGGCTATTTGTAATTCCACAAATAGGACTTGAAAAGTTATTTGTGGTAGGAAGAAATTATTTGATACCGATGATGACTGCTCCCAGAGTGCTAAGATCCTGGTGCCTGGGGCTCTTTTTGTTTGTGGGGCACCTGCACCCCAGAAGGCAGTGGGTGTGACAGAATGAGAGGACGCCCTAGAAAAGGAGGAGTGGAGTGGGCCTGGGAAATTCGCAGGGCTGGGGATTTGGGCCTTGCAGGCTGTGGAACCCAGGAAAAGAATAACCCGGGGTTGGTGCGCAAGGGACTTTGACAGAGGTGGGCAAAGTGTTGAGGGGGGATTTTTGGAGAGAAACGCTGCCTGCCATGTGATGTGGGTTGTCCCTGCTCTCTCTCTCTATCACTGGTAAAATCTTTGCCCCCTCCCTACTGGTGGCATTCATTCCCCTCCCTTCCGCCTTACCCCTCCCTTCTCCTTCTTCCTCTCCCCCCATTTTCTCTCCTCTCCCTTCTAATGGGTGGTAATGGAGTACCTGCTTGGGGACAGCTCGAGGTGAAATCAGAGGCTGGGTTATCTGAGTGATCCAAGCCCACACTCACATTCCCTAGTTCATGCTGTTCCTCTCTTTTCCCTTGTTCATGCTGTTTTCTACACCTGGGATGCTCCTCTCTTTTCTGCCCAAAATCCCCCTTGTCTTTCAAGTGTCCTCACTTTTGTGAAGACTTCTGTAACCCCTCCCCTTTCCCTACTCTTAGTCAGAATTACAATGAACGCTGCCTCTGAAATCCCCTAGAGCTTCTCAAATCTTTCTATGGCACCCCTCAAAGAAGAGTAAGCTTGGGTCATCATTTATCTTTACCAGCCCTCCACCCACCCTCGCACTAAGCCCAGAGGCCAGCACATAGTGGGTCCTCAGTGATGGGTGGGTGTGGGACCAGTGAGTGAACAAAGGGAGGGGCTGTGGGGTGCAGAGCCAGAAAGGGAGGGGCGCTATGAGCCAACAAGGAAAGGAGATAAAAATGAGGAGTGGGGAAGGAGAGAGGAGTTCAATCAGGCCCTTCCTTTAAGCGCCCCTCAGAGAAGTCGAATTTGCATCATTAAAACCCAAATAACCAGGGGATGAATGGTGAGCGAAGCAGGAGATAGAATTGTGGAGATGGAAAGGAAACAGAGCCAAGGACAGGAGAGGAAAGGGGCTTAAAAACAGTCTTGCGCTAGAATTTTTTAAAAAGCGGCCGGGTGCAGTGGCTCACGCCTGTAATCCCAGCACTTTGGGAGGCCAAGGCAGGAGGATCACAAGGTCAGGAGTTCGAGACCAGCCTGGTCAACATGGTGAAACCCCCATCTTTACTACAAATACAAAAAATTAGCCTGGTGTAGTGGCGGGCGCCCCTAATCCCAGCTACCTGGGAGGCTGAGGCAGGAGAATCACTTGAACCTGGGAGATGGAGGTTGCAGTGAGCCGAGATTGTGCGATTATACTCCAGCCTGGGCAACAGTGCGAGACTCTGTCTTAAAAAAAAAAAAAAAGACAAAGATGGAGGTGGGACAAATACGGCAGGAAGAAGAAGGAGTGAGAAGGAGTGCAGGAGGGACGCTGAGATTTGAGTTAAGAAAAGGTGTTGGGTTATGGTGGGACTGGGACAAACAAAATCCACAGCCTCACTCCACATAAGGCAGGTGGAGAACTGGCCGTGCACCGAAGCTCTGGAGCCGTTTTTGTGGAGAGGGAGGAAACGATGGATAATAATATGCTGTAGAGATAAATTAGTAATACTAAGCTACCTCACTGGGATGTTATGAGTGTTAATTAATTATTGTTTGCAAAGCACTTTGAAGGTGGAAAGGCTCTATAATTATTATGAATAAAATGTCAGAGATAATCATCTGGCAGAATGCAATGACCTCGTCAGCATCTCATTTGCATGGCATGAAGCAGAGCATTGGTTCTAGGATTCTCTGTCAAAGGGGGAGACCTGCCGGGGCCGACAGATACCCGTCTCCATGCCCTGCCTTCTCCTGCTTCCCACCGCATCTCTCTGGCAGCCCCAAAGCTACGGCCTCCGCTCCCTCGGCGGCGAGTTCACGAGCTACCGTGTAAGGTGATATTTTTATGAGTCAGAAAGCTACATATGCAATAAGCTGGTGGCCGGATGACTTTACGATGGGTAGCATTCTAATGTCACAGGCCCGAGGAACACTCTTCACACTGAGCAGCTTTTGGTTTGGCAAGCTGTCTTGTTTCAGAGGAGATTAAGAACATGGTGGTCTGGGGCTGCCCTTCCAGAATGGGAAGGGCGTAGGCTTTGCAGGCAGGGAGAAGAGGGACTTTATCTGGGAAGAGGTCAGGTGCCTGCAATGTGCCAGCTCAGGGTTTGGAGGGAAGGGCAATGAACAGACCACAGTGCTGGCTCCTGAAGCTGACATGCTAAATATGGGAAATGGACAATAAACAAACACCTCTGCATCTCTATATGTAATGTGTCCGGTGGCAGTAAAGGCAAAGAAGAAAAACATAACAGAGGAAGGCAAATGGAGGGTGAGGGGAAAAGCTGTATAAGTTGGGTATGTAGGACACCCATACTAGGTGTACCCACTGGTGTGAGGTCTGCGAGGTGTTCATCCGGGAGGAAAGATGTTTGAGGACAGTTACCTTCAGCCAGTGTTCCCCAACTTGGTTTAGATGACGAGGCAAAAGAACTGTGTGGAGTATTGACCAACCCTTGCCCTTGTATTAGAAAAGCAAAACAACCCTGCCAACCAATTCCCCTTCAAGCCAATATGGAAGAGAGAATGTTCTTTTAATATTAGATAGGCATGGTCCGAATTACATGCACGTAAAGGAACACAAAAGCAACTATCAAGTGTGGACAGGATTTCACATGCATTTATACCCAAAAGACAAAACATTGAAAACTTCTTTTATCTCCTTGAGAGACAAGAGGACTCACTTTATTTTTTGTCTCATGTATTCCCTGTGAGAGATCTCGCAGCTAGTTCTAGAGGTAAGCGTTGACAGTTCCAAGGGTCAGAAAGCCAAGGACCTTGTGTTGTAAAATAAACCGTTGAGCCTTTTTATCAGGCCTAGTGTGTTCACAAGGAGACATCCTAGCTAGGGGAGGGTGGGTAGGCAGAGGCCTCCTTCCTCAAAGAAAACATTTCCCCCTTACACTCCTGATGATAGTTATTAATCTTTTTAAACCTCAGCTGAATTAAGTGCTGGAATCGTGCTGTTACTGCTGAGACACCCATTCCTGTATAAACAACTGGCTACTGACTCCAATACTGTGATCTTAGAAAAAACAACACCAGCTTCAGGCCAGCTTTTTTTGTTAAGTGTGGATTTGGAGCAGTGATTCTAAAACCTCAGAATCCCTTGGAGGACTTCTGATAACACAGATCTCAGGGCTGCCCTATCCTCTCTCGAGATTCTGACTCAGTAGGTCCGGAGTGGGGCCTGAGAATGTGCATTTCCAACAACTTCCAAAGTGATGCAGTTGCTGCTGGACCAGGGACCACACTTTGAAAACCACTAAATATGAGCAAGTGAACCTGTTTTGGAGAGAGGGACTGGGGAGAAGGTAGTGGATAAAGATGAGACGAGACAGATGTGGAGGGGAGGTGAAGAGCATGGCATCCAATACAGAGAGCTCAGGGTTATGGACTGATGAGATGCACCAAGCTGTTGGGGACACAGTGTGGCTGGGAGCTCCAGAATGGGGGTTATCCTCAGTCAGGACTGCCACTCCCCGCTCTGGGTGTGGGCTACACTCCCTCTCCCTTCATAGTGCCCACCCTCGAGGAGAAGCACCTTCAAGGATGCACGCTCCTGCCTCTGGGAATGTCAAAAGATAGTTGGCAGGAAGTGCCTGGCACAGAGGCGGGGGCTCAGTTGTTATTGATAATTAGGAGCTCAACAGGAACTCGAACCCAAAAATTGTCCTCAGAGTGCCGAGGTATTTATTTGCACAGAGAGTTTGCCAAGTTCCTTCTGACTTCTCTTTCCCTTGCCATCCCCCACAGTGGCTGGGAACCCTGCAAGTCAACGGCTTTGAACTGGGACTTCAAAGAGAAGCCGAGCTCTGTTCTTCAAACAGGTTTATAAAGAGATTTTGATACAAGACAACAATACTTGTCAGCAGTGCCCAGTTATCGTCCTTCCCTTTGTAGTTTTATTAGGAAATAATTTCCCGGCTGGTGAGGCTCCTGCTGGCACGCCTTGTTTCTCTACTTGCGACTGGATCTGCCCACCGGAGGGGCTGCCCCTCGCACTGCAGCAGTTTTGCCAGCTGGGGTCCCGAGAAAGACGTCACCAAAGGGTCTCCTGGCAGCCAATTTACCATCTGCCCCCCCGCCCCCGCCTCCTCTCGCCCTTTGTAGCAAAAATGCAATTTGTTTGACCTCTGGGGTGGTTTAAAATCCCAGCTTCTCAAGTGCCCCCCGATTACTATTTTTTTTTTTTTAAGAAGGAAGAGAAAGAGGAAACTGACCAGAAAAGAAAAGAATAATTTAAGCCTCCCTTTCTATCATGTCCTGCATTTTGGGTTGGCAACAGATTTCCCAATAGATGAAAACTAAAGAGCCCAGTTCCTTTGGGAATCAAGCAGGAGCATTTGGAGCCTGCATTTAAGCCTAGGCAGGGTGTGGCTTCCCAGAAGTGACTGTTTCTTCCTCTTTCCCCGGTGCTGTTTCTTTCCCGATATTTTGGCACACAGGGCATTGAGTCTACTGTGTGTGGAGCACCGTGGCAGGTTCTGAGCAAGACAGAAATGACGGACACCAGGTCCCTCTGGTCATGTGTCTCTGCATGGGTGTGGTGAGCTGGGGGGACAAGCACGCTCCACAGGGGCTCTGCACAGAGGCCTCTGCTCACAGCAGAGGAAGGGACCCTGGGCTTTGGGGGCACAGCTGTCCAGAGCCATGCACCAGACCTGCTGGAGGTGGCTCTTGATCCTCAGCTGAGGGAGAGCCAATGGTCAGGGAGGGTGTGCTGTGGTGGTGGTTTTAGGATGGGGCCCCTGGGATGCACTTCCACACTAGAAAAGGGTGCAGACAGAGAGGGAGGGTGGAGTTGTGGGTGGGAGAAAATAATGGGTGGATTCTGATCCTGGGAGAGGTAGCACAGAATAGAATTGGGGCAGAAGGGGGCACCTAGCCCCAGAAAAACCTACATTTCACTTCCTTTTTATGAAATTGGGAAAGAATTGTGAGAGAAGGTGCTGATTGTTTAGGGGGTTAGGGAGCAGAGAATGTGGGCACGGTCACGTTTTCTGCCCTTTGTTCTCACTGGGAAATAGGAATTAAGGGTATCTGCTGGCCAGGGGAGGGGTTTTAGGAAGTTACAGGCAGAAGCATCTTAGAGATTATTTAGTTCAAAGCCTTCATTTTAGCCAGTGAGGTTCAGAGAGATGGAGGCATTTCCCAAGGTAACACGTTGATGAGTGGGGGAGCAGGGACTTGAACCCACGTCTGCTGCATCCCAGGTCAGAGGCCACTGCTTTGCAGGGGGCTTGCTGCCTTCCTGAGGGTGCAGCCCTGTTCTGAGTCCACTGGGAGGCTGGAGGAGCCGTGGCAGCTGGACGAGGCCTTCTGGGATTCTTTGCCACCTCAGTGATGAGGCTGGCTCTAATGCCCTCCCTCAGCTGAGAGGAGAGAGGTCAGTGCAGAGGGGAACCTGCTGCAGTCACGGGTCACCCAGGGTCACGTCAGGCCTCTGCACAATGCACAGAGCTCCAGGCGTGCAGGAGGCACAGAGCTGATGCCATTCCTCGGACTCCGAAGAAGTTTGCTGACCGGGTATTACTCACCTTCTCCTCAATAATTTCCTACTGTTGCCAGAGGAAATAGTCAATGCTTTCCCCAAGAAACTGCAGCATAGAAAGCAGTCTCAGAACTTGTAGTTTCTGAGGAGAAATGTGCAAGACCACAGGAATAGCAGAGACCTGCTGGTTCCTGCCCAGGATCTATGCCCATGTTATTATACCCATTGGACAGATGGGGAAACCTAAACAGAAAAATCAGTGATTTCCAAAGCTTCACCCAAAGGCAGTAAGAAAACTCATAGCTTAATGTTGCTGCATTTCTTCCTGAATCTTCCTCCTGCCGATTACTTTATATTTCCATGGAGTGTAAAGCCTTGACGGAGACAGACAGATTGAAGATGAACGATGAGCCCTTTTCCATGGGATCTGGCCAGAGTGGACTCAACCCTAGCCATGGACATCATTTTTTGAGGCAACCATTTAAAAAAAAAAATTAAGCTATCATGGAATAGAATCACAAAAGTTGTAAGATATTTTACATATTTGAATTTAGGGAATGGCAAACTATGGCTTGCAGGCCAAATGTGTTACAGCCTGTTTTTGTACAGCCTGTGAGCTAAGAATGGTTTTTATATTTTAAAAGGACTTTTTTTTTAAAAAAAAAAAAAAAGGAAAAACAATATTCTACAGAGGTTGTGTGCAGCCCATAAAACCTCATATGTTAACTAACTAGCCCTTTATAGAAAAAGTTTGCTGATCCCTGATAACATATAGTGCTTTTATTACAAAAGATACAACTGTGGAATTGAATTATTCACAAGATAAGCATAAAATGTATTAAAAATATTCATTTGTTGTATGAGTGGTCGTATGAGCTTATAATAAAATATAAATCCCAAGTCGTTTGGCCAGCTGCTGTTCATCCCAGTCACATCAGCTAACCTCTTGATCTTCACTTGAACGTAGGTCAGAAGTGAGCCTTGGAGGTCTCTGTGACCTTGAGGCTTGGCCGTGCAGTCCTCCTGGCACCCAGCCCAGGTAACATGCTCTGGGTTTCCTTTGAGCTGGAGAGGAAAGTGCAGGGCCTGCTACCCCGGTGTGGCATCTTAGTTTGCCTGGCCTGCATCATGGAGGTCATTCATGGTGGGATGAGGGAAGCCCGGTCCTTCTGCATTCTTGGGGCAGCTCAAGCACCGAATGTAGCAGAGGTGGCCAGGGCTGTTGGGGGCGTGACTAATTGATACCCTGGCTCTCTGTCCAATATATGCAACCAAAGCCTCGTGATGTCTGTTGTACATTCACAGAAGGGCTGTGTCAATCTGGTCAGGGATAGCTGTGTTCGGAACTGCCACACCCACTGCACAGAGGGCGCCAATGTGCTTTGGGGTCTCCCCATGAAGACGGGCGGCCAAATGAAGTAACACCTTGTGGCACAGCAGCTGGCCAGGAGGAGCCTGGCACAAACACGCTGCACTGGGACAGGATCTGGTCGCCAAGTCAGGGAGGGTGCACACCTAACTCTGCTCTACTCAGAGCCAGAAAGGCAGAGCAGTGGAGATGAAAGGAGGAGGATGGCCAGTCACAGAGAATGGGGTTAAAACCCTGCCTCTGCCATTGATTAGTCACGTGGTGTCTGGAATGGTCAGTTTCTTCACCTGTGAGACAAAGATAACGATAGGACCCACCCCTTGGAGTCACTGGGAGGTTGAGAAGAGATACTGGATGCAAAGACATTGGGCAAGAAGGCAAAAGCAAAAGTCACCAAGTCTTCTCTCTTTTCCATCCTGTGAATGGTGGGCTTAATTCTGCATAAATGCTTCACTTAAGGTCTAAGGGGAGTCACCAATGAGGAGAAAGAAAGAGAGAGAGAGAGACAGAGAGGGACAGACAGAGGGGCAGAGGGTGCACATTTTGGAATGCAGAAATGGTACAGAAAAGAAAAATGCTAGAGGGAGAAATTGTAACTAAACCAAAATTAAGCAGCACTTCTTAAACCGTAAGCATCATAGAGAAACAGAGCCAGCAGGCACCTCAGTGATCGCACAGTCCAACTTATCTTTAGACCTTCGCAAAGGAAAGGAGGCAGACAGCCTGTGCTCAAATCCCAACTTTGCCATTTACTTTGGGCAAGTAGTTGCAGTTTCCTAAGCCTCAACTCCCTTGTTGGTGTGAACATTAATTGTTGGCTTCAGGATCACGCTGTGAGTGAAGTTGAAGGCTGGTGCCTCCAGGTGCCAGGAGTCACTATAAATTGGGAGACCAGGGCATGTGTCTCCATCCGTGTCCCCCATAATCCAGGTTTAGACTTAATAGTGCCCAGAGGAGGCCTGAACAGGCTTTTCTTTGTGCGGGGCAATAGACTTTCGGAGACTGAATTCCATTAAATGACGCCAGCAACAATTCAGAGCTTCCATCCTACATCACTTAAGTCAAACCTGTGCAGCTCATTTCCTGTTTCTCTTATGGGTTGCTTTTCCTTGCTTTTGGTTGGGGAAAAGTTAGTTTTGAAAACACCCCTTGTAATAGGTGTTGCAAAACACTTGAGCATCGATATGAGCCTATTAAATTCTAATAGCTCTGTTGGCAGGTAAAATGCGCATATAGATTTGAAAAGTGCTCATGCCATTTGCCTTTTGGACTGCTGGGGCCATTCTGAAGAGATTACATGGTTAAGGTCAAGGAGTTTGGAGGGGTAGAGTTGGTCTCTCCAATTCATTTCCCCTCAGGTTGTTTTCCTAGGCAATTATACATTGCAGGATGGTTCATCTGACTAGCAAGAAGCTAGTCTTCCTAAACATCTATTGTTCCTCTTCAACCAAGAATATCTATTTTTTCTTTGTCAACACCACTAAGGGATTATGCCACCTCTCAGCTTTTCCTATTCTAACTTTGTTCAAATAGTTTAATTCTAAAAGCTGCTGATTCCAAGGAAAAAAAAAATCTACCGAGAAATCCTACAGTGTGGGATTCTGGTACTAACCAAATAAGGCTATTTGATTGTGTAAGTAAATACCCCAGGCCCAAAAGTTTTTGCTAAGGGAGAAAGATCTGAAATAGAAGACAGGCTGAAGTAAGGTCTAGCTTTTTGGGAGACGGAGAGAATGTGCTGGGGGAAAAAAAATCCCTTGCAGGGGATTCTGGGTTAGACAGAAGAGAGAAAGGAGTAACGAGATCATCAGTGCTCACTGTTACCTATGATATTTAGCAGAAAGATCCTCTAGGGTGAAGTACTGGAACCAATGCATTCCAGAGCCAGATGTGAAACAGAAAATGTTGGGACTTAGGGAACTGCATCCTAGGAGACTCCTTAAAATGTGTCATCTCATATTTTGGCTTATGGTGAGGCAGCAAGGGCTGAACTGTCCTAATAGCCATTTAAGTTTTCAACATGATGTAGAGTCAAAAAATGATGTCAGAACTTCAGAAAATGTGTTTAGACTAGACTCTTTTACCTTGTGGGAATTCAGTTGAAAGAATCACTAATTTTTTCATATGGCTACTGTCATTGATTTACAAAGAATTCTTCTTGCAGGCATACATAAAATACAGGAAACCCCATAATTAAATACCTACTCTGACCACAAAGTCAGACTGTCTTAAGCTATCTCCTTCATGCACATGCACATAGAAAGAAAGATCCATCTCTGAGCATCCATTGAAAACTTGCAGATTTTTTTCTTTACCCCTTCCTAGAATTGCTGTCAAATTAAGCTCCACTTCAGAAGACAAGCAACAGTGGGAGAAACTCTGAGTCAACGGCTTTAACTTTGGCAGCGTTCTTCACTGATTCGTGAAGTAGGCTAGCAACCTCGTTTCCCCTTTTAACCCACGTCCCATGCCACGTGTGTCTGGAACAAAAGAAATTTTAATATGGACAGCATGAACGAATGGAGGTGGGGTGTTCCTTCCTGACTCCACTCCTAGGAGTTAAGCTGCAAACACTGTCACCTTCGTGCATTTGATTCCGAGGCTTATAAAGATTCTAGACTATGAGATGAAATGGGGCCAGTTCAGCTGCCTGAATGGGCTCTTCCATAGATGGCAGAGGGGCAAGCTCTTGCAGACTGGAAAAGCTTCCTAAGAATTGCTTATGCTATACTAGCGCCACCCCCAACAAGTCCATTCAGCAGGCATCCCATCCCCCAAACCTGGATGTGGAGGGCTGAGTAATGGCACCCAAAGATATTTGCATGTGAACCCTTGGAACCTGCAAACGTTACCTTGTATAGCAAAATGAATTTTGAAGATATGATTACATCAAGAACTCTGAAAGGGGAGCATTATCCTGGATTATCTGGGTGGGCCCTAAAAGTAACCACAAGTATACTTATAATAGGGAGGCACAGAGCCATTTGACTACAGAAGAGGAGAAGTCAATTGGATGATGGTAGCAGACATTACAGTGATGCGGCCACAAGCCAAGCAATGCTGGCAGCCACTGGAAGCTTGAAGAGGCAGGAATGGATGTTCCCCTGGAGCCTCCAGAAGGATTCAGCCCTATCGACATGTTGATTTTAGCCTCATAAGATTCCTTACAGACTTCCAGCTCCAAGAACTGCTGGAGAATAAAGTTCTGTTGTTTGAAGTCACTGACTTTATGGTAATTTGTTACAACCGTAATAGAAAATGAATACATTCTTCTTTTCAGATTTGCTAAAGAATGACGGAATGCGTCCCTCTGGTTCTCACTGGGCTGCTATTGGGACACTAAGGGATACCTGCATAGCCACACCTGCCTGCCTCATGTAGAATACTCTGGCACTGAGTTCTTAGGGAGATAAATGCACGTTTTCCCAATCTGTCCACTCAGCCTGTTTCTCAGAGCTGAGCTCTTCTGAGAACTTTGGCGGGGTGAGAAGCTGACCTCAAGAGTTGCCACAGTACCTCCCTTTTCCTTTTGCAGTTACTTTTTGCTTCTTCCCCACTTCCACAGTCACTCCCCAGTCATTCCCCAAAATAGCCTGGTTCTGTGTCTCATTCACTGAGAGGCTGGCGCCATTAGCTAACTGAAGCAAGAGATCTGTGTAGTTGAGTCAAGTTTACTCTCCCCTCTTCTCACCTGGCAAGCTTCTTTCTCATCTTGTTAACCATGTATTTTTAACACTTGCCTCTCAGAGAAGGTGTTATCCTCCTTTCTTGACAGAGTCATTGAATTTCCAGTTCAGAAGGACCTTTATTAAACACATTAATTCCAACTCCAGTAAAGTAATTAACGTGGGGCTTGGGCAGTCGGGAGAGGTAGTAATGGGGCTAAGGGACCCACAGTTGTAATACCACCCCAGGTAATTCTGAGACACATGGCCTGTGGGCTGCTCTTGGAGAAACAATGGCAAGATTGCTAAGTCAAAAGAGGGGAAGCAAGCAGTGGGGACCTTCATTTTTTGGAACAAATTCTACTTGAAGCCACTGTCGTGTCCCTTTCTTCTTGTTCCTACAGAAGTAGAAAACAGTCCCTGGAAGATTGTCCTTCCAATGGCCATGGGCTAATCCGTGTGCTTTGGCACGTTCTGGGCAGATTCGTGGCTGAGTTTTGTTAAACCTGGGACCCGTAGGAAACCCTGGACATTCGTTGCACTTGGGCAAAGCTAAATTGCAAGAGCACTTCATTGAGATGCTGAGCTATCTGGGAAAGGAGCAAGCAGTCAGGCGAACCAGAAAGACCCATTTAACCAACTTGGAAGATGGGCATTTTTGATGAGAGCATTAACCTTCTCTTGGCTGGCTGTCATTTCCAAATGACAGCAGCGTGCCTGGCATTTCCATGAACTCTTTCATCTCTAAGAGAAGAAGGGGAAGCAAGGGTCACATCTAAGATATTAAAAGCAGGAAGGAAACCTTTGAGCAATTTGGTACCCTTTGGCCTGTGGATTTTTTTCTCCCACTGAGGTGGTGCATATTTAAAAAGCATAACCTAGGAGATGTTTTGAAAGAACAAGTTCAAAAACTGGCTTAGACCTGCTTTTAGAATGTTAGAAATTGCCTGCCCTTGTGGATGGTCAGGACATAAATTCTTCTGGGAGTTGGGCCCTGACAGGATTCTTTTGGTTGCAAGAGACAGAAAGCCAAGTTTGTATTTTCTTAATTAAAAAACAGGAGCTACAGGTCTCAGGTATCTGAACTGTCTCATTACAGATGAGGCTTCAGGCACAATTGAATACAGAGGCTGAATGATATAATTGAGGATTTAGTCAGTCTCTCTCTCTTCCCTGTGTGGATTTAATTTCTATTCAGGCTTTCCCTTTCTGCTTACAAGAAGGCTGCCCTCAACTGGGGAAGACACATTTTCAAGTTCAAATCCAGTCCCTGTGAGAATCTACAGGCTTCCATGACTGCTAATGTGAAAGTCTAGGAATTAGATGCTCTTGGTCATAACTGGCCTAATTTCTCATCTCCAGGACAATTATGTGGAGGGGGTATTGACCCATGCCTCTGAAATTTTAATGTGCATATGAATCATCTGGGAATTTTATTAAAAGCCAGATCCTGACTCTCTGGAAGTCTCAGGTGGGACTCAAGATTCTGCATTTCTAACAAGCTCCCAGGTGAGGCAAAGCCTGCTGGTCCAAGGAACATCTCTTGAGTAGCAAGGATATAGACTGGGCATGTTGGTTTAATCTAGGAGGTATTTTCCATCTCCATAAACTGAGGATAGTCTCAGCTTCAACTGAGGACATGAGCTGAGATTTGGGATAGTTAGTGGGGAGTGTGTCCCCTCAAAGAAAGATGTAATACTGTCTCCACCCAAAAGACAATTTGTATTCTGATGGCAAAAACAGCATATTTCCACCGTGGGCACTCTGGGCTTTTTTGGTGAACTGTAATACAAAACATCAGCCAGTGATGTCTGGGGTTGTACGAATTGTATCTGTGCCTCAGTAGTACCCCTTGCAGCAATGAAAGAAATGATCTTTAGATGAAAGACGAAAAGATAAATACTCTTTAAGCATTTGCACAAGCTTATTATCATTACTATTAATTATTAATTGAGGAAGGACTAACACGAGCTTGATGTGGGTAGAGATTTTGTTTAAGCACCAGCCCAGAGAGGCCTGGAAAGGAAACCAAAGGAAAAGCATGAATTATAAATACAGATCCTGCCATAGGAAGATGATGGAAGCACAGGCGCCTGGAATGGAGAAGGGGTCTCAAGGCTGCAGGCTCCGGAACTGTCACATGGAGTTAATGTGCACCTCAGGAACTGGTCCGCAGTGGCGTGGTAATGTTCATTAGGGGGCCAGCATCCAGCCTGCTGGAGAAAGACAATCAGTGCGAGAGCAGGACCACAACTTTGAGGATCTTTGAAGGAACTTACATTTCTTTTGACACGCATTATGTAGGGAGAAAACAAAAATCAAAGGCCTAGAGTTTTGTATTTTATTTAATTGCTTTGAAGATCACGGTAAACAGATAGTTAGACCTAGGGTATTCTATAATTAGTCGGTAAATTGTGACAACATGAGCTGGTATTCTGGAAAGCATGTATTTGGAATGTGGCAGATAAAGGAATGAGTTGCATAATTTAGGTATTTGAATATTGAAATGTAATAAACAATAGTAATAATAACCATAATAATCCCAGAGTGACAAGGACCTTGCAAGTTATAGAATGTTCTGGTTAGGTTACCAGATGGAGAACTGTAATTAGACTCATTTTTTTGGTAATTTAAGAAATGAAGGCAGCATCATTTTTGGCCTCTCACCACCTTCCCTTTATTTCTCAGCATCTCGATGCCTTCTGGCTGTAGCAAAAAATTTCTCTCTTTTTCTCTGTCTCTGTCTCTCTTTCTCCTTCTTCTCACACCCCTATTTTTATCTCTCCTGGAGCCTGAGCCGTTAGTGTTTTGCTGCTGGGAATCCTGGCACTGTGCATGTTCCTTACATGTTTCTTACACTGAGTGAGCCCTGTGCCATCTCTCTTGAATCTTCTTGGTGGGGGATGTCAAGACATTAGCTACAGCAGAATGAGTCGTCAAGGAAGTTTCTAAAGCTGTAGATACGTTTTTGCAGTGATCCTCTTCTATCCCTACACGTATCCTGGTTTCCATAGTAGAACAGTTAAGTCAGGGTAATTTTTTTTTTCTTGCTTGAATTCAGCCAGCTAGGTGGTTCTGGAGTCTTTCCTCTACAAGTTCTGAGTGCCTAGAGATCTGAGCTCTAGAAGACCACCCCCTCCCACCCTCCTCAGGCTGCTACCCTCTGACTTCCTTCAGCAGAGACGTTTCCTGCCTCTCCTAGCATCTGCGAATACAAATTCTCTCTTTATGGATGTTCTACCCACTTTCTCCTCCCCTTTTATCGTGTATCTTCAAGGACCCAATTCTGCCCAGAATTAAGTCCAGCAGGAGCTATAGAATTAGACCAATTCCCTACATTCCATTCGGAGTGACAAGTTAACAGGAAACAGAACAACCACGAGTCATCACGCTCTGTGGTACTCAGTCCAAGTGCAACTGGTCTTGAAAAATAGTGGGGAGAAATGTGGTCCCAGGGACTTGAGAAGAAATACCCATTTTGTGGTATGACACCCTCACATCCTGATTTTTGCTCGTCATGGCGTTTAGCACTGGTTGACAACTGCTTTCATCTGGGATTTCCGTTGTTAGATGGCACACTTTCCCAGGCACAAACTGTGCCTGCCTCTTTTGCCTGTGCATTCCAGAGCCAAGTACAGTGCTTGGCTGATGTAGGTGCTCAAAGCTCATATATTGAATCGATTTATTAATGCATATTTTGGAGGCAGGGGTATAAGAACAAGGAGAGTGCACCCTTCCACTTTTAGAGTAGCAATCCATTAAAATGAGACTTCTTGGAAAATAGCAAATTTTTAATCTGTTCAGTGTCTAGAAATTAAAACTAAAAAAAAAAAAAAGGGTGATGGTACCTGGAAATAATAAAACACTAAAGGATCCTAAAATTCTACACAAAACATTTAAATTACATAGTTTTGTTTTTCTTAAGTAAATTTCTTACTGAAATACACCAAATAGATAAAAGTGCACAAATCATGTGTGTACTTCTTGAGGAATTTTCACAAAGAAAACAAATTGGGAGACTACTCCCAGACCAAGAAACAGAAGCCTGCCAGTATGCCAAAAGCCCCCGGGGGTACCCTCCCCTTACTTCCCCTACAAAGATAACTCTTCCTAACTCCTATTGCTCTAGATCAGTTTTGCCTGTTTTTGACTGTTATATAAATGGAATCATGCAATATATTCTTTTGTGTTTGTTTTCTTTTTATTCATGGTATTACATTTAACAATAGTTCATTCCTTTACATTGCTGTATAGTGTTCCATTGTATGAATATGCTACCATTTGTCTATCTAATTGTTGATGGCATTTGTTTCCTTTCCAGTTTTTGCCTATTAAGAATCATGCTACTGTGATCATTCTTGAATGTCTTTGAGTGTCCATACATTGACTATATACTCAGGAATATAAATGCTAGGCTAAAGGCTATGTTTATTTTCAGCTTTAGTAGATACTGCCAATGTGTCAACTGGTTATACCCATTTACACATCTGCCAGCATTCAATGGAAGTTCCATTTTTCCTGTTTTCTGGCCAAAAATTTGGAATTGTTATTATTTTAACTTAACCATCCCAGGAAGCATGCAGTGAAATCTTGTGCTTTTGATGAGCTCACTTGATGACCAGGGGCAAACACATTTTCATATGCCTGTTGGCCATTTGGGTGTCCTCTTTTATAATGTGCCTATTCATGCTTCTGTATATCATTTTGGCATGTAGTATTTATTAATTTTTTTAAGACAGTTGGAAGGATAAATTTTCAACTTTAGGAGAGACTTTAGACCTTATGACGGTAGCTTTCCTACTTAAATAAATTTTTTTTTTTTTTTTTGAGACAGAGTCTTGCTCTGTTGCCCAGGCTGGAGTGCCATGGTGCAATCTTAGCTCACTGTAACCTCCGCCTCGCAGTTTCAAGCAGTTATCCTGCCTCAGCCTCCTGAGTAGCTGGGACTATAGGTGCATGCTGCCACGCCTGACTAATTTTTTTATTTTAGTAGAGACAGGGTTTCACCGTGTTGCCCAGGCTGGTCACAAACTCCTGAGCTCAGGCAATCCGTCTGCCTTGGCCTCCCGAAGTGCTGGGATCACAGGCGTGAGCCACCATGCTGGGCCAGTAAATGTTCTTTTATATCACCAGAGTCCTTTCTTCAGATGGAATCTTAGGCAGAGGACTAACATGCAAAGTAGGTTAAAGCAGAGAAGTTCTCACAGAAGGAAGGATGAAGAGCTCAGATCCTTTCCCATCTGTGACCCCTTGTGCGTTCCACTGAACCTTGAAACCACTGTCTTATGGCAAAGGTAGTTTTTAAGAACCAAGGTAACCAGTGAGCCAATAAAAACCCTCACAGATACTTTAAAAAACCTGCTAGCATGAAACAATAAAGATAACAGCAGAAATAAGAATATGAAAGGCGTTTTTACAACTTGAATGGGTTATAATGAGCATTATACTATTAATTTCCATTTATGCTTTCTTGCTCAATGGAGACTTTTCATGATCTCCTTTCCCATAATCTCAAGATGCTTTCAAATTTGTTTTGATTCATTGAGCGAAATATGCACACCAAGAGGCTGTGTGTGTGTGTGTGTGTGTGTGTATTCACATGCGCCTTTCATCCAAATGTTCAATGCTTTTCTGATTTTATAACTTAGATGTGTCCTGAATCCTGCCTTAGTCCATTGACACAAAAGTACTTGGATATTTCAAATGGAAAAATTATGTGGTGAGCTTTATTTAACCCAGTTAGGTAGGCACTTTTTGTTTCTGATGCTAGAGTCCAATGCTCATCACTCTCAGGAATATTTTACTAGCCCTTCTCCACCCACCCACCTCCCTGACTCTACAGAGCCGTTCAGGGCTCTAGCTTCCTTCTCTTCCTTTCCCTTTATCTCTCCCAGAGCTTCAAGCCCACACCTCTCTTTCTTTGCTGCCATCTGCTTTACCTCTCTTTCCTTTTTTCTAATCCCCAGTTTCCTTTTTTCTAATTATCCCCAATGGGAGTGACTTGCAACCTGTAGATATATGAACCTAAAAGATACATGGAAGCAAATTTGCATACAGTGGAATATGGCAAAGTGAAGGAGTTCAAGGCAGGCAGAGATTGTGGTAGGCTTTCCAAAAGTGGGCAGTCAATGGTGGTCCCTGAAACGATTTTAGGTAGTACACTTGATGAAAAGTTTTGTTTCTGTTTTTGTTTTGTTTGTTTTTTGAGATAGGGTCTCACTCTCCCAGGCTGGAGTGCAGCAGCACGATCATAGATCACTGCAGCCTTGAACTCCTGGGCTCAAGCGATCCTCCCATCTCAGCCTCCCGAGTCGCTGGGACTACAGGCACCACCACCATGCCTGGCTAAATACTTTTTTTTTGTAGAGACAGGGTCTCATTTGCCCAGGTCTTTTTGCCCAGGCTGGTCTTGAACTTCTGGCCTCAAGCAGTCTTCTCACCTCGGCCTCCCAAAGTGCTGGGATTAGAGGCATAAGCCACTATGACCAGCTGTTGAAAATGTTTTTAAAGATTTAAATAGTTATATATTCACTTTAGAGATATTAATACATTTCTTCTATTTGTGGTAAGATATATTTGTTTTCAGATGGATAAAAGGTTCTTTTAAATATTTAAGTTTAGAAAATGACTGTACTTCTCTGGAAAAACTTGTGAATTAGTGATGTTTGGAAAATACTGGCTGGTTCATGCTCATTAAATCAGAACGTTTTATTAGAGGACTGTGTTCTCCGATCAAGTCTTCATAAGCAAAATGAGTAAATAGTATATCAAATCCTGCCTCCTCAGTATAACGAGTGTTAGAATTTATATATATATGTAAGAGTTTATAACTGATTATACTTCCCCCAGGAGTCTCTACGACCCACTTTCAATGAGTCCATGAAGTTAAACTATTTTCGTAATACTATTATTAAGATGTTACTTGCTGTTTTCCCAGTATGTTGTTGACATTTGCACTGCTGATGCAAAAGCAATGGGGGGTAAAATGCCGGCATCTTAGGATGAGTCCAGGCAGTGGCCCTGGGCTGTGCGAGTGGTCATTGTATACTTCACTACACTCCAGAGAAGTGAAAAGCCAGGGTTCCCTATAAATGACCTTGATAAAGCAGTACAACTGATTAACTTTATAAAATCTCAACAGTTTACTGTTTGTCATATTCTGTGTAATCTTTATAAAATCTCAACACTTTACTCTTTGTCATATTCTGTGTAATCAAATGGGAAATATAAATAAACATTCTGCTGTGTACCAGTATACGATGATTGTTTCAAGGATGACACTCACTCGTTGTGTGTGTGTGTGTGTGTGTGTGTGTTTGCTTATTTATTTATTAGAGATGAGGTCTCACTTTGTTGCCTAGGCTGAAATGCAGTGGCACAATCATAGCTTACTGCAGCCCCGAACTCGTGGGCTGAAGTGATCCTCTTACCTCAGCCTCCAGAATATCTCTTGGACTATAGATGTGCACCACCACACCCAGCCGCAAAGACTCATTTTGAGTTGAACTACCCACTTTTGTTCATGGAACACTGTTTTTATTTGAAAGAACAACTGGCAGACAAACTATAGTTATTTTGACTTGGGTGTTTTGCTGATATGTTCTCCAAAATGAACGTAATGGGCCTGTTACTTCAAGAAAAATATTGACTATTTATAGCCAATGATAAAATTTAGGCTTTCAAGTGAAAATTAGGATTTTGGAAAACTTGTATTCTCCACCTTGAACTTGACTATTTTCCACTACATAAAGACGCATGATGAGATTGGTTGTAATATTTGCAAATGTGATTTCTTGATAGTTTGTAACAAAATATGCCAACATTTGGAAGATTTTAGAATTTCAGTGAATTATTTCTTTTCTTCAAATGGCCAATGCATGATGTTACAAAATCACACATCAGCAAATGATCCATTTAAAATGTAAGATAGACCAGTGAAATTTAATGTAGTAGAATGTAAAAAGAAAAGTCATTGTTGATGGTTTCAGATTCCACATTTTATAAGTTTTAAGAAACTATAACTACACCAAGTTTTGGTGTAGCATCAAAAAAATATACAATTACAGGAAAAGGCTTTTAAAATACTTCTGCTTTTCACAGTGATACGTCTATGTGACTGTATGAGGCCAGATTTTCTTCATCTAATTCCACCAAAACAACATCTTATAAAGTTTGGGTGCAGAAACAGATATGAGAATCCAGCTGTCTTCTATTAAGCCAGACATTAGAGATTTCTAAAAATGTAAAACACTGCCACTGTTGCTAATTTCTTTGTTTTTAAAAAAAGTTTTTATTTTGCATGAAAATGTTTGTGTTAGTATATAATGAGGTTGTTATTTTTAAAAAATATAAATATTTTAAACATTCTTCAGTTTTTATTTTTAACACAGATACATCAATAGATATAGCCTACATAAAAATAAGTCTTTGAAGGTCTTTGATGATTTTTAAGAGTGTAAAGGGGGCCCTGAAACCAAAAATTATGAGAAACAATGTTCTACAAGACAGATTCTTGTCCTGTTGGTCAGAACACTCCATTTCTCATTAGGTGACCATGGTCTAAGATTTGCGAGTGTGTGTGTGTGTGTGTGTGTTTGATGGGGGCATGTGATAGCATAGGATCTTTTCATCATATATATATAGTGACTGTGTGAAGGGGAAAGTTAACTCTAGCTTCAGTCACAGAGCGGTATCTAGTGACCTGTTTTGTGAAAATATACCTAGAAGACTTTTTGGGTGAAACTGATGGTTGAGACAGGAACAAATAATACAAATGTTGATTCAGAAGTTTAACGATACGATAAAAGATATGGGTCCTCTTCCTTTTCAAAATGTATTTGGGTAGACAGCCTCTATAGTGGGCCCTGCCTCCTGAGATTCATACCTCCGTGTCATCTCCTTCCCTTGAGTGTGGGTGGGGCCTAGTAATGGCTTCTGATCAATAGAATACAGCAAAAGAGATGGGATGTCCCTGCTGAGATTCCATTACAAAAGGACTGTGGCATCTGTCTTGTTTCTTGGCTCCTTCTGGGGAAAGCCAGCTGCCACACTGTGAGCTGCCTAGGGAGACGCACATGTGGCAAGGAACCAGTAGGTCCCCAGCTAACAACCTTTGAGAAACTGAATCCTGCCAGCAGCTGCACGAAGGAGCTCAACACTGGGTTTTCCTTCAGCAGAGCTTTCGGATGTGACACAAGTCCCTGACGGACACCTTGATTGCTCCTTGTAAGAGGCAGAGGCATCAGGGGAGCCACACCTGGATTTCTGGCCCGCAGAAACTGTGAAATAATAAACGTTGATTGTTTTAAGCTGCTAAATTATAGGGTGATTCGTTACACAGCTATTGATAGCTAATATACATACACATGGATTTTCATGTAAAACTTGCATATAATTTCAAGAGACGTTGAGACATCCCTGAAGCCCATTAATGGACAATCTGTGCATCTCATTAACTCATTTATGCCTAGTGTTCCATTAGTGGAACGCTAAGCGTGTGGGAGTCATTTATATCCTACTGCTCAAGGTCATTGCCGAGGTCTGATTTTTCACACAAAAAATTTGCAACCTCCAGCATAAATGGGTTAATTACCCCTGCTCGAGGAATACCTTAAAAGAAAAGGCAGCAAAGACAGAAAATAAGAACAGCAGAGTGAGGAATGGAAGGGAAAATCCAGACAGTACATTTAGACCAGGGGAGAGAAGCAAGGACCCAGTGCCTTAATGAAAAGAAAAGTTCACAAGAGCATTCTAAGGGGTTTGATCCCTGCAAATGGCAGCTAAATAGGTGAGGAAAACACTTTTATCATGAAATAAAATTGGGTGGATATGTTTCCAAGAGAAGAAAAGATCTATATTCTGTAGGGATTTAGGTATGTAGGAATAACATTTTCAACTCAGCTTTGTGGGTGGGCAAAGTGTTGAGTAACAATTTAAAGGAGACTAAAGGTGGATCTGTCGACTAAAACATAAGCATGTGTTAGAAATTTTGTGTTTAAATTACAAAAGTTCTAGTATTGGCCTATGTAATTTTCAAGTCTAGAGCTTGAGTTGGCTTCAGACATGGCTGGATCCAGGGATTTAGATGATGTCATTAGGTCTCATCCTCGACTGATCTTTTTGGCTGACCTTCAGATGG